>NC_000018.10:49124577-49425243 GCF_000001405.40 Homo sapiens
TGACTAAAGGCTCTTTAAGAGTTACACTAACCCTCTTATTTTTAGAGTTATTGGGTATTTTACCAAACTTCTCTTACATTGTTTCTGTGACAAATTCTAATGTGATCTTTTATAGATTATATTCAGTTGCAGATTTATAAATTAAATGACAAGAACATATCATTTCTAGCATTACTCAAATTGGCTAACAATATACTGTGGGAGGTTACAGCAAACACATTTTACATGATATTGTATTTGGCTGGACTGCCATGCTAGAAAGAATCTTCTGTATTTTAATGTACAACTATTTTGAAAAACAAAAATGAATAACATAATTCAGAAATAAGTTTGAAGAGTGGCTAATTATAATTTTCTGTCAATATTTACTTTAATATGTAACACTCTAAATAAGTTATTAGGCCAGGCACGGTGGCTCACGCCTGTAATCCCAGCACTTTGGGAGGCTGAGGCAGGCGGATCACGAGGTCAAGAGATCGAGACCATCCTGGCTCACATGGTGAAACCTCGCCTCTACTAAATATACAAAAAAAGTAGCTGGGTGTGGTGGCACACACCTGTAATCCCAGCTACTCAGGAGGCTGAGGCAGGAGAATCACTTGAACCCAGCAGGCGGAGGTTGCAGTGAGCCGAGATTGCCTACTGCACTCCAGCCTGGGTGACAGAGTGAGACTCTGTCTCAAAGGTAAATAAATAAATAAAGTTATTAAAATTTCAATATAAAGAATCCCTATACAGAAAGAATAGTTTCCTTTCTGGTTATACCCAGGCGTGAAATTCCAAATATTTAACAACTAGTTGGCACTGCTAGTCCTAGTAGATGCAGGTTGAGCAC
The DNA here is from genome assembly GCF_000001405.40 of Homo sapiens. Lineage (NCBI taxonomy): Eukaryota > Metazoa > Chordata > Mammalia > Primates > Hominidae > Homo > Homo sapiens. The sequence goes on from NC_000018.10 coordinate 49,125,413, forward strand.
AACCAGGGCAGCCCTACTAGCTTGCATTGGCTGGATGTCAGTGGTAGTAGTGACATAAATACTCTCTTTCAAGAAAGAAAAATAAAATGAAGTTTCCTTGAAGTCAGGTCTACGTTAATTGGTTTTATTATAGTCCAAAAACTATACCAAGAATTTCTACGTGCATTACTTTATTCAATTCAGCAATTCTTTAATTTACTACTAATTCAGTTACTATCTATCCAATTAGAAAGCTTAGAATTTGGTCAAAGAATCGTAAAATTATAAAACACCCTCAGAAGATACAAAAGACACTAAAGTGACTCCCCTTAATGCTAGAATCCCTTCTATAACATTCATCCCAAGTGGTCAACCAGCCCATCCTTGAATACAGAACACTTTTGAAAGGCTCCTCATTCTTTCTATGCAGTACAGAAAGCTGTTGCAGTTTGGCAGAAGTCTGTCGCCCTACTCCTACTCGCCAGTCTTCAGTCTATTCCACTGTTATAGCTATCATCTTCTTCTCAAGCCCATCAGCAACCTCAAGTGTCCCTCAATACAACCTGGCTTAAAGCCTTCTCATCATTTTATTTGCACTTTGCTAGATGTCTAGCATTTGGATTGTTTTGATCATAGATGTAATGCTGTGTATTCCATTATCTCCATTAAGATACATAAGTATTTATACATTTGTAATCCTTGCAACTAATTCATTTCCATTTTTAAGTGACAACAGTTCTCTGCTAACCACTACTTTAATTATCCTTTAGGGAACAGCCAGAATTCCTACCGTGTAAGTCGTTTCCTGGAAACCATGCTCTGGATCCTCCCATTGGTGTTGGAAGATCAACTACAGCTTCAAGGCACCAAGCAGATCATGAAATAATCAGGAGCCAGAGGGGTAAATTATGTACCCTGAGATTCTGATTTACTAAAAACAAAGTATCAAATTTTTGACTAATTCTAATTTCTAAGGAAAACTATCTCAACAACTATAATTTCCCAGTTACTTGAATCTTCAACTTGCTACTATGATTAGATGTCTGGTTCAGACATCCTTGGTAATAAATGAAATTCTTTATGTTTCATTTTTTAAAAGCATTATTGGGTTATAATCACCACTTGTAAAAAGAAGAAAAATCATGAATTTGGAGAGTTTCTTTAAAATTACAAAACCATCCAAATTTCAGTACTTAAACAGACCTAAAATGTTATCTAATCTCATGATTTGGGTGTCAGAATTTCAAATGGTATTTAATATTATTTGATTTTTTTTCATAAATTTTAAATGAGGCAGCATTTGTAAAGTCCTTAAAACTGTGTGTAACACATGGTAAGCACTATGTGAGTGTTATCCAAAACATCCACAAACATATTTTCGAAGTATTTTGAAGGAGAAAAATCATTTTAGCTTTAGACATTATCATAAAAAATATAAATGGCTTTCCAAAGTTGAAATTACTATAAGTGCAAAGAACTCAGAACTCATGTTTCTTAGTTTTAAATGTAAGTCCAAAATCCCACTCTTATTAATTTATAAAAGTAGTCAATGTATAGAAAAACTGACTTGCATTTATGAAATAAGATTTTATGGAAGACACGCTTTTGAAAACTAACCGTATTTCCTCAGTATTGTGTCAAAATTAGCTTTGTCAGAGGTAGAATCTGCTGGCTCCTCAATGGAGCAGCCATAATAGAATCTGCTAGCTCATCAATGGAGCAGCCATGGTATTTTCCTCTTAGTCCTTACAGCTTCTGTAACAGGAACAGATCTCATATCAGACAGGCTTTCTCCTCCAAAAAATGGGCATACTTATTTTACTGCAGACAATTTCAAACGTAAAAACAAGAAAATGATCCCATTTTCAGATGTTTCTGATACATCAAATATGTTGGGAATGAAAGCTCAACAAATTCTATGCGAAGTAGTAATTTCATATCAAATAGAGAAGTTGGCCATTGTGGGAATATTTTACCTTGTTAACAGCAGTCAGAGTTGCCTCTCATTCTATAAACTTCCTTTTCCTTTTAAGAGGGAATTTATACAGTTAAATAGTTTCAAATCTTTATTTTTAGTTTCCTTAAGAGAAGCATATGTATCTTGTTTGTATTAGTTTTGGGGGGATTCCAAGAGAGTTGTCTAAATTTCCTGCATTTTCAGCAGAAAATAAAACCTTCAACAAAATTAATGGGATTTTGCCAAAAGTGGGGAGTAGGGGGAGGAAATGCACAAGCAAAGTTCTCTTTAAAGTTAATGCGCCAATGGCCTTCAAAGGCAATCACTTGGTGACAGACTCTTGTTATCTTTACGTTGCTAATTCACTGGTGCACACACTGGAAAGCTTTGTGGCCATGTTATTTCTAGCCAGAACTGGATTTGTCCAAAATACTGAGCTTCTGATAGAAAGAACAGGTTTTATATTACACATAAAATCAGAGCTGAAGAATAAATCCTGTGACCTAAAAAGACAATGGGTAACCTTAATAAAGCAGTGGGAGGGGGAGGCGGTGAGCAGACAGCAGTCACCGCACCACTGGTCTCATGCGGGGATGTAAAACCATGTGGTCTTTTTCTACACTCCTTGGATGTGGTTTGAATGTGACCCACAAGCCTCAACCACAACACTCTGGAAAGTCGTTCTTTAACATACACTACTGCAAAGGCACTGGAGGCAGTGACAAGAGAACTGTGGCTGCTAGGGTACACTGGCTAAAGCCACGTTTTTCCACATCCGGAGAAGAGCCAGAGAACTCATACAAAGAGTGTTCTGATTGAAATCCAGCAAAGGTGCAGCCTCTGACAATCAGATTATGTTAGCAGGCCACTTGCAGTGGACAGAACTTGGGGTGCAGAATAGAGTTTCTCACCCTTCCTCAGGCCCACTGCCAGCAGAAGAGACAAGTGCGTACCAGAGCTTGGTGTTCTGTTTTTAAAAGTTCAATGTTTTACCTTAAGTATTAGTGTTCATTTTTATTCTTCTTAGACTATATTGGTGTTTTATTAGAAAAAGAAATCCCTTTCCACAGCCTACGAAAAGTAAAATCTAAGTAAAGCAATACTTTAGGAAGATGTGTCTTTTTTAAAAAAAGTCTTTGACTTTCTACTGAGTGCCTTGTCTCATCCCAAATCTGAGATCCAGGAGTCCCAGCACTGCCAATAATTAGCTGTGACCTTTGCTACATCACCTGAGTTACAGTTTTTATTTGCAAAAATAAGTACTTACATAATTTTTTAAAACCCCTTCCTAGTCTCAAGTCTCAGCTTCATAAAGTATTTAGACAATACTGAATTTGGAAAGTAAATTTTATTAATATAACCAAAAAATGTAATTAAAATAGAAACGTATTCAGGGTAACTTCAAACTTCAGGAAAATTCAGAATTTAGATTACCCTGCCACCATGAATAGAGTCATTATTGGTTTTTAGAAGAAGAAGAAAATCCAAAAACCTTTGTAAGTAAAAATGCACAAAGTTAAGTTTCAAAATAATCATTCTCCAACCCAAGGAACCTATTGATTCTTCTGTTTTCAATATATGCTATTTATCTTTGATACTCTTAATAAACAGAAGGGAAATAATCTGTAAACCTGTGTGTCATGGATTACACATTGACTTCAGAGACCTATGACGCTTGATGCCCTTTTTTCATTCTTTCTTGGGAAGAAGAGTCAGTGATGCCAAAAAAGGCAGTAAAGGGTCACAAATAGGGGTGTAATAAGCTCAAGTTAAAAAAAAAAAAAAAGAAAAACAGAGTAGCTCCAAGTCCATGGAGAGAAGCTCCAGATTGGGTTCTAGTCCCAGTTTTGCCATGGACAGGGCACGTCACTTTCACAGGCCTCATTTCCTTCAAATGTAGGATAAATAGGCTCTCTAGGTCACGTGTGTACACATTGTAAGGAACCTGGACTTCAGTTTCCGTGTAGGATGTGCAAAGTAACAAAGAACGACCCTCCTTAGTGAGGAGAAAAAAACCAGGTAACTTAATAAATCTTAAATCTTCTTAAGTTCATCAGAATATGATTTCACAAGGCAACCAGATAAATGAATTCCAAAGAGGGTCAAGTACCTCTTCTAAGGAAAGAAGGAACACAAACATTCACCTTTGGCTGAGCATGCAAGGAAGAAGTGGTGTCCACAGAAGTGGCAAAGAAGAAAGCAGCTAAAATGTTGATGAATTATTAAAGGCTAATGTGTCAGTCTTGAAACCTGAAACCCAGATGCAAGAGATTTTATGTTCACTTAAGAGTTCTTTCTCACTATCCTCTACTAGGTGCTCATGAGAAAGGCTGGTATGGAGCAGGCGACTGAAGAGGGCCCCTCTACCACTGCTCAAGCTTGCAGGAGGTGATAACTGCTGCTGGGGGCAGGCTCCAAGACTCATTTTCTTCCCTGACTCTTCTCTCATGCTAAGAAAAAGCCGTAAGCTACAGGGCAGCAAACCCTCTTGGCCTGTAGCACAGGCAAATTTTCATTGTCTCTAGGGGGATGGTAGAAACATGTCTGCCCCTGAACAAGAGGTAGGAAGCTCTCTCACCTCCAGGACATAGATAAAGATCCAATCCTGATGATAGAGGAATAAAAGCAAAAAACTTTCTAGTTCTGGGATTTGAGGCAGGAAACCAAGTTGGGTTCAGGATCCTATACGCATACCAATATCAAGCACAGGTCTGCTACCACTGGAGAAGGGACAGGAATGCAGAGAAAGGTCTACTTCTGAGATCCAGGTGCACACAGGGACTCTCCAGGATTGAGGCTGGACTAGGACAACAGAGAGGTCTCTTCTCCAGCCCTACTGCTGGGACTGCTGAAAACGGAGTAGTAAAGAAACACTGAAAAAAGCCCTCTGACACTGCAGACTCCACCCTTTAAGCATAAAATAAAGAGCTGCTAGGGGAATCTGAAGCTGGTGGTGCACTGAAGACACAAAACCCAACTCTGCTCAAGAAGGAACCAACTCCCATTAATAGTCTAAAAGCAAAGGTCTCCCCATTTACAGGCATAAATGCTTTTAACCTCGGATTCGAATGTCCTAGCACAATGTCCGGCATTCAGTAGAAAATGAGACACCTGAGTCCATAAGTCCATATTTTATCTTTGGTAAATTGTCTGTTTGTGTCTATTGTGCATTATTCTTTTGAGTTGTTTGTCAGGAAGCCCCTTTCTCCTACTTTACTAAAACAATTTTTTTTTTATATGAGAAGTGCCTATTGGCTTTTCCCTAATTCCTTTTCAAATCTATTAAGATGATCATGACTTTTTTCTCCTTTGAATATTTACTATGAGTACATCAATAGATTTCCTAGAATTATACAATGGACTGTATGACTTGGTAGGTGCTATGGCAGATGCTGGGTTGGAGTGGGGATCCAGACATGTTCCTGCCCTCACACAGGTTACCATTTAGGGGAGAGGCACCCTGTGAAAGTACAAGGCGCTATGGGAGCACTTGGAATAGGGTTGGGGGTTTTGTGGGGAGGAGGACATAGACAAATAGTAGGAACATAGGCCCTGGAGTCAGCCTTGAATCCCAGCTTTACCATATGTTAGCTGTGTGCCCTTGGGCAATTCACTGAACCTTTTTGAGCCTCAGCTTTCCCGTGAGAAAAATGAGAGAACTACTTACTTTAGAGGATGTGAGGATTAAATAACGTATTTAAAACTATTTATGGTCTTGCGTAGCAGATAAAGAGTGTTCCTTACTTGGTGGTTATTATAATACTTACCACAAACAACAGACAAAATGCTAACCCGAAACAAGAAGGAAGAAAAAAGGAGGAAAAACACAAATATCCAACTTTAAGGTGACAAAGAGAATGTGACTACAGACATGGAGGACATTTCAATCTTCCTGCCTTGCAGATGCCACCTTCTCCCTGTGTCCTCACAGGGCCTTCTGTAAGCAGCAAGCAAGCGAGCAAGTGAGCTCTGGTGTCTCTGCCTCTTCTTTGTTTTTTGAGGCACAGTCTTGCTCCACCACGCCTGACTGATTTTTTTTAATGTTTTTGTATGTTTAGTAGTGACAGGGTTTTGCCATGTTAGCCAGGCTGGTCTTGAACTCCTGAGCTCAGGCAATCCACTCGCTTTGGCCTCCCAAAGTGCTAGGATTACAGGCCTAAGCCACCACGCCCAGTCTCTGCCTCTTCTTATAAGAGCACCACCCCTACTGGATAAGGGGCACATCTTTGTGTAACCTTAATTACTTCATTAAAGGTCCTGTCTCCAAACACAGTCTTATTGGGGGTTAGGGCTTCAACATATTAATTTGGAGAAAACAGTTTAGTATATAACACTTAACCATCACTAAAGTGAGACAATCATACCTTCTCATTTGTGAACCAAATAGTACCCAGCTATGCAGTATTCTTAACAAGAAAGGAGAATCTGAATCTATTTAAGACTTTAGAGCTAACTTTAATTATAGTAAATATGAGGGACAGAGAACAAGGTAAATGACACCAAAAGGAAACAAAAGGACATACCAGAATGTGAAAGATTCTACAGGACAAATGGTTCAATTTCTGCCGTATAATTGGATGGGAGAAAAAAGAAAGACAGGATTGCTCTAGATTAAAAGAGACAGGAGACACAACAACCAAATGTGTGAATTTTATTTGGATTCTGATTTTAACACATTGCCAACAGCCATTTTTGAGACTTCCGGAGAAATGTTAATATGCTGTGCATTAGATTATACCTAGGAAATATTTCTAATTTTGTTAGATGTGATAATGATATGTGATTATGAAAGAAAATGTTATTATTTTTAGAGATGCATACCAAAATATAAAGGAGTAAAATCTCAAGATTTATTTAAAGATACTTCAGCACAAGAAAAATAAAAAGCTCAGATAAAGGATATATGACAAAATCTAATTGCAGAAACAAGGTAATGAGATATGGGGGTTCATTAAACTACTTTTGTGTATGTTTGAACTTTTTCATAATAAAATTTTTTACATTGACAACTTAAATAAAGGAAAAATTGTGTAGGAAACTATAAATTCCTCAACTTGACCTAAGATCAAATAAAAAATGTGAAGAGAATAACCATGAAAAAAGGGAAAAATCTGTCAGAGACACACTGTTAAAAAAGGAGGTTGGGTTCATATGGTTTTATGAGTAAACTCCTTTATATCTTCAAGGAATATATAATTACTATGCCATTTAAGCTTTCTAAATCAGAGAAAAAGAACGTTTCTCATTTTGTTCTTCCTTAAACAGGGGTAACATAACTATAATTTCAAAAATTGGTAAAGTTAGTTGAAAAATAAAAATAAAAACAAAAACCGTCATTAAAATACTCAAACATATGAACATTAAATTCAACATTGTGCTAAAAGGGTTACAATCCAAGTAATTTCAAGAATTCTGGAAGAGTACAATTCTAGGAAATCTATTGATGTACTCATAGTAAATATTCAAAGGAGAAAAAAGTCATGATCATCTTAATAGATTTTGAAAAGGAATTAGGGAAAAGTCAATAGGCACTTCTCATATAAAAAATTGTTTTAGTAAAGTAGGAGAAAGGGGCTTCCTGACAAACAACTCGCAAGAATAATGTACAATAGACACAAACACACAATTTACCAAAGATAAAATATTAAAATATGTTCAACTTTGCTGGTAGTTAAACAATGTCTGTTAAATTATAATGCTATACATTCTTTGCCATTTGTTTTTGTTATAAAAATAACAAATGATTATAATTCTGTGTTGTCAAGAAGAAAGGAGATGGCATTCTCAACAGAGCACTGATGAAAGTATAATCTGAAACTACTTTTCCAGGGACCCATTTATAAATACGTACTTAAGAGTCTTAAAAAATGTGAAGACTCTTTGTCCCTACAATTCTAATATTAGAAATTTATCCTAAGGAAATAAGACCATGCCCACGGATTTACTTTGTGGATGTCTATTGCACAATAACAAAAAATTTTCAAAATTTTCATCATCCCTGAATTTGTTTTCTGTTACTGTCATAACAAACTACCACAAATTTAGCCGCTTAAAACAACACAAAATTTGTCGTCTCACAGTTCTGCAGACATTCAGATAGGTTTGGTTCCTCCGCATCTAATGAGGCCAAAAGCAAGGTGTCAGCTGAGCAGGGTTCTTTTCTGGGAGCTCAGGGAGAGAATCTCTTCTGAGTTCATTCAGGTTAGAGGCATTCATTTCCTTGTAGCTGCAGAGCTATTCTCCTGCTGGTATAAGCTTGGAGTCTGTGCCTGCATTCCCCATCACATTGCCTCCTTCATCTTCAAACCAGCAATGGCAAGTCAAATGCCACTCAGCTTTGAAGCTCTCTGAGATCTCCATCTGGTACATCTCTCCTGCTTTGGCTGGACAAAAAGTTCTCTGCTTTTGAGGGCCTGTGTGTTTAGGTTAGACCCATCTGGAATAACCAGTCTAATGTCCCTCTTTTAAGGTCCATAACCTTAGTTATATCTGCAAAGTCCTTTTTGCTATGTAACTTAACATACCTACAGGTTCTGGGGATAGGATGTGGACACTTTTCAGGGGCTATTATTATACCTACCACAATTCCAAATGTCCGATAGTAGATGATTGACTAAATTATAGTACATCTGGACAAAGCAATACCATGAAGCTATTAAAATGAGATATCATGTAACTAACTTTGAAATGCATAAAACAGGATGGATTGATTGATTGATAGAAGAACAGAGAGATAAATAGAGGGTAATAAAGCAAGTCCAGTAAAGTGTTAATTTACTGAAGAATCTGGGTGGTAGGTATATGGGCATTTACTGCAACATTTTTCAACTTTTTTGTATATTTGAAAATTTTAATAATAAAATGTTGGAGAAAAAAACCAATTAGCCCCAATGATCCAACTTCACTGGGTGAAAATCTAGACATTTATGAAGATATTTCTAGCGAAGCAGCAGGAGTAAGCTTTTGCATAATGGTTTATAAGGAGATTACGTTTCAAACAGCATTAAATATCACCTCACTTTATTTTTCAAGTAATTAGCAAATTAAAATAGAAAAGCAATAGTACAGGATGCATTTTTTGAACTGTTAGTGAAAAGCCAAATAATATGCTTGAGGAATTTTTATTTTCAAAAGGAAAGTTCCCTCTAGAATAATTAATACATAAAACGAATGCTGTCTTGATTTAATTATTTCTACATGGAAATAAGTGAATCTACCTCACAGTTTAACAAAATTTGACAAAACAGATCCTCAGTTTATTGAAACAGACAAACAATAAAATGAATAGAAAATAACCACGATGATTTCACAAACATTAGCTGAGTGCCAACATCATGACATGTAGCATTGTCTTAAGCACTGAGAATAGATACCAAGGACATAAAATAAGATGTAGTCCTTGTCATTTATTTCACCTTGGAGTTATAAAATCTTGTCTAGTTTTGTACGGCAGAAATCTATCAAAAACACTTTTCTCAGCCGGGCATGGTGGCTCACGCCAGTAATTCCAGGACTTTGGGAGGCTGAGGCGGTGGATCACCTAAGGTCAGGAGTTCGAGACCAGCCTGGTCAACATGGTGAAACCCCATCTCTACTAAAAATACAACAAATTAGCTGGGCGTGGTGGCAGACACCTGTAATCCCAGCTACTCGGGAGGCTGAGGCAGGAGAATCACTTGAATCCGGGAGGCGGAGGTTGCAGTGAGCTGATATCGTGTCACTGCGATCCAGCCTGGGCAACAAGAGCAAAACTCCATCTCGGAAAAAAACAAAACATAAAAAAACCACTTCTCTCCAGATACGTAAATAAACAACATTTTAAAAAAGAGAAAAAATGACTATTTCCACTTGGAAATAATACTGCAAATACAATTGAAGAATGCTGAACTTTACTGAAGACACAAAAAACTACTGTCATAGATTCAAATCAGGAGCTACTACTCTGTGTATTAAAGACTCCCCAGTTGTATGAAAAATTGGCCAGATATACAAGAGGAAACACTGTGGCACAAGAGTTAACAGGCCAGGCTCCTTATGACTTGCCTTTGAATCCTTGTTCTACTATTTACTGCTTATATGACCGTGGGCGAGGGTCTGAACCTTGATTTCATTATCAACAAAACTATTACAGAAGAGTGGAAATGAGACAATGAACATGCAAAACACCTATCCCAATGCCTAATACAGAGGAGCAGCTCAAGAAATTGTTGCTCTTACTAGTAAAAGCAATGGTAATAACAAATGTTTCTTATTAGGTACAGATGTATTTAGGAGGTATAAGAAGGCTATCAGGCACTAAGAGAAACTAACGTTTTCTGACTTGTACTTTAATGTCTTCTTACAGAGAAGTGTTTCCAACAGGCTGAAATTTGAATTTTAGAACATTTAAGTACATTACAATGAAATGCTCTAAGCTGTGAATCTGAGATCTTTAAGAACCTAAATGCTATTGTTATACTAAACTCTGGTTAATCTCCTGAGAAAATATTATGTATATGTTTAAAAAATATTTTAAGTCTAGTGCTGAAATACAGGTAACCCTGACTGGAGACAGCCTGCTTTGAAACCTCACTGCATTATAACTATAGTTCACAATCATGACCAAAAGTTGTATTTATGGTTGTCTAATGAATGGCATCAATGCCTACATTTTGTCCAAACAACTGCTAATGCTCATGAGTCAGTCAAGGTCAACAGCAGTGAAGCTAACTCAGTCTGCTGGTACAATTAGAGCAAGGGATCACTGAGGTTGCCATGGAAACTCCCTGTGGCCCAGCCACTGCCATTCAAGAACTTTAGGAGGCAATCCTGTATTAAATTTGCAATTTATTTCCTGTGGCAGAAACTAATTTTAAAAACAGTTTGAAAGTCCTTAGAGTGTAATGAAGAATCCTTACTACAGCAAGTGTTACTATAACAAGATGTCTTCAGTCCAAATAGCACTGGACTTACATTTTCAAAGCCCCAAAGGAACCCAAAAGCATACATATATGTTATATATATATCCCAATTTTTAGCTACTTTTATGATTACATGGTTTTAAAACACAAACTTTTCATTTGTTGTAACCTATTTTTGTGTTTTTATAATGAATTTAGTCTGGGGGGATAGGACTTAATATGTATAATATTTATAAGGGTCTGACTTAAAACGGCTCCACTTGGGAATCGTATTCTAGCAATCAATTACACCATGAGTTGGGAGCTGCCTGTCATTTTGCTATATGGTGTCAATTTCTTTGGAAGAGACAAATGCTTAATTTTATTTTCCTGAGAGTCTTCTTGGGAAGAAGTGTGTAGAAACAACTCTCAATATGTAAAATATAAAACCAGAAATAAAAATACTCTTAATCAGGCATGAAGGAAATCCTCTTCTTTTGAGGCAAAGAAAAGTTGATATTAATGTAGAAATGCAGGAAAATGCTATTAAAGGGTGTTCTCAGTCAAAGTTTACTTGGCAAGAAGGAATGTGATCCCTACCCAACTCCCTCCTTTCTTCTATTGCATTTCTTTAATCCACTCATAATGGTTTGGGTATAAGGAAAAGATTTTGTTAAGAGGAAGACACAGAATGCAAGTAAAAGACATTTTATGGTAATGAATACACTATAACAAGAAAACATTGAGTACTCATACTAGTATCAATGGCAACAAAGCTAAAATTTACTTGGTAGCATTTCTTATCAAAGTATAGTGACAGTACAGAATGAAGATGCAGCTGATTCTACAATGTGTGGACCTTGTAACATTTGCATAGGACAATCCTATCACCAGAACACACTGAACTGACCACCACAGCATATCTTCTGCTATGACCAACGTGACAAGTAGACATTTCCTTCCTGCACCGACCTACTTCATCATGGTGGTGCCATGAGAACTGAATGAGTTAAATAACACACCCAGTACAGGCCTCACACTTGGCAAGTAGTAACAGAACACTTTCTCAGTCCTGTCCTGGTGACATGGAAAGAATACTGGCAGGGAGTCAAAAGACCTCAGTTCTAGACCTGACTCTGCTAAATAATCACCTCAGAGTTTGAGCAACTCATTTAATCTGAGAATTTCTTTTCTTTTGTTAAGTAGAAATATAATGCTTGCCTGCCTTTATGAGAACTAATTTGAAAATGACTTGTTAACTGTAAATGCTACAGAAATGTATAATCAACCATGTTGATTAAGACTGAATTTTTGCCTTTGACTCTAGAAACCCTGCCATCCCCTAATTTAGTAGGAATATTAAGAAAGAACAATAAGGGTAGATAATTTAGCATTGGATAAAGGGTGGCCATAATTCTCTTTGGTCAGCTGTCCTCTAAGTTTATAAATAACAGATAGTTTTTCTTTAGTTAAAAGCAAACCATACTTTCCCTAAGATCCAAAGTCAGAGATGTCATGAGACAGGCACCAGTTCCAGTGGGACAGACTGTACACACCACCTTAGCACCAATCACAGAGATAGGGAGCAACAGAAAGTGTTTTGTAGTGAACACAACTCATTTAACCTTGGGAAGCGCCTAAATGTGCACAGAAGCAACTAGAAAATCTCTGCCACATTTCATCAATAAAGCCAATGATCAGTTAAAATAGTTCTAAAAACCCCTTGGTTTTACACTGGGAGTTAGGTGAACAAGAAATCTCTATGCCCAAAGAATAGGAAAATGGTAGTATAAAACCAATGTGTGTAATCTAATTGCCTTCTTAATAAAATTGCCTCATCAAGCAAAATGTTTAGGAAGGGGTTTTTCTTTTTTTATGTATGTGATTTATATATAAGAAACATGCCGTGCCATGATCTGAACTAATTTACTGGTTATTATTCAATAGTCACTGCTAACTCTAACCCTTTGGTATGTCAACAAGACAAATAAAAGAATGATTATAACCTTCTAAATGGCTTCAGCTTTATGTCAATTAAATTTTGAGTAAATTGGATGAGGAATCAGACATGCTGAACAACAAGAATAAGAAAACTGAAAGGCAAAGACACAGAGGGAGAAATTAAAAAGGCATTAACTGCACACACAAAAAACCACAGTTGCAAATTGCCTTTTACAAAAGATCCCAGAACAGTTGCTATCGGAATATTCCCTCCACCTCCTAGGGGCCTTGATAACATGGATACTTAATACCTGCCCAGCAGTCTCTGTTTCACTGTAATTTACTGGTTTTGGTAGGTTTGGTTCAATGTAATCTAGGCAGGTGGGGAGGTTTTATTAACGTCTTCAGATTAACAGGCTAATTGATGCAATTTAATCAGTTCTCCCAATAGCTATCAGTTATACACCACAATATTCCCAGATGAAATGTGTCATTTATTTAACAAATACTAAACAGTGGCATTATGAACAGGTACTGTACTAACTGGAATTTAGAGTCCAGTAGGGGAGAACTGAAAATTGTGAAAAATGCTATGAAAGCAGAGAAAAGGGAGGATAGGTAAGTATTAATACGATTTAGACTGAGACCTGAATACAGAAGTACAGGAAGTGTCCGATTTAAGTCTTCATGTTATAATACTTTCAAGAGTTTCAGTCAAGCGTCATTAGAAATTCCAATTAAATGAGGAGTAATACCAGAAATAGGAGAAAAGGCCTAATTGTGGAATGCATAATTTATTAGCAGTTATAGCCAATCTCTCCGAGAGTTAGACTATGCTTTAGAGAGGGAGGGTGCTGATGAACCTATTAACTGTACAGACTAATACTTAGAAAATAATATATTAAGCTCAGTTTTGAAAACGATTTCAAAAATTTATTGTACATGAGGAATAGCTTTCCTGTTCTCATTTTTCTTTTTCCTAAACTTTTGTTGTAATTTTAATTTTTATCAGAGTGATAAGAGAGCAGTTGAAATTCAAGATTACTAGACTTAAAACAGAAAAAGAGCAGCCCTCTGATCCATCCTTTCCCTTCCCCAAATCCATGACCTAGAGGCAAATACTTTGAACCATTTTTTCTATTTCCTCCAACATTTGCTTTCTTATTCTGAAATAATGTGTACTATTATTTTAAATTTTATAATTTTCAATTATCTATTGACTTCTTACTCTTAAAAAACGAGGCATTCCCTCTTCTAAATTAATTTTAGAAGGAGCTTACTAAGTTTTACTGATATGCTAAACTGTGAAAATATCCATTTTTAAAACTACTGTTTGAGGGAGACAACTAAAATGTAATGGATATTCCTCTAAAATAAATGACTGAAAGAAACAAAACCAAGAATTAACTGGGAATCTGAGAATAAGATCATGCTTCAAATTTACGATACTGCTTTGAGACAATGGCAGTTAAGCAAATCCCCTTATATCTGAATGTCTATCATTAAAATGAAGAAAACAGAACAATAGTTTATCAGGCTTAGTTTTTAGAGGAAAATCTGGGTCTGTGAGTGCTGGAGCATTTTCAGAGTGCCCTGCAAATCCAATTAGGACTCTCTTAACTGCACCCCATGGTCATTCCCTTTGACTGACAAATTTGTTTTTTAACTCTCAGAACACGATGAATCCTAGGTTGTTGGTTTTTTCCTTTTCTTATTCTCTTTTGCTTCTCTTCTTTTCTTTCTTTTTAAGAGTGTGGCATTCCCAATAGGCACAGCGGTAATCCTGCTGGCTTTCTCTCTTACTCCTGTGCCATTACATTTAATTTGCGTGCTTTTATAACTCTGTACTTACGCCCACAGGCTTTTGAACAATGGGCACCCATTCAATAAATTCAAAAAATAAATGACTTGATGATTCTAAGTGCTCTGAACTCAATGGACAGAGGGCTCTACATAAGTAACATAATAGTAAAAAGGCTAGGATAAAACATTAAAAAGAAAAAAAGTCTAAAGCTTTTTCAGAAGACACACACACACATACACACACACAGTTGTCATCCTTTGCCACATAGCATTCATTTTCCTCATTTGTACTCAGTTCTCAAAACCTCTTCCTCTATAGTTTTTGATAGGAAAATGACAAACATTTGTAAAGCAGAAACACATTTATACATACTTGCAAGGAGTATTTCCTTGAAATGGGCTGATCACTGCAAGGCTTATTATATAATGTAAGAGATACTTAAATACATCCTGCAATCTCATGGAAATAATTCCAGTGTTATGATGAGGCCATGTGGAGCTTCCTATAACCTAAGATATAGTAATACACTTTGACTTTAGTATTTTTCACTTGGTTTATTAAGCATAACTTAATTTAAAATCTGATACGAATTTTAAAAAGTCAAGACATTTAGCAACTATAAGGTTTATTATGAGCTGTTATTAATTAATGTAGTGATATAAAACTTGTATTTTAAACAAGTTTATCTATTATCATTAGACTCCACAAGAACTTCATAAAGTTGGGTTGGCTAAAAAACAGGAACAGGGGTATGGACATATCCTAAGATGAGACAGGCTAAATAGGAGAATGAGAATAATAAATTTCATGCCCTTTCTTAGACTTCAACTAAAAAACCTATTCCCTAAGAGAATCCTCTCATGATTAATTAATCTAGCTACTTGTCAGTTTATACTATTCAAAATAATCCCCACTTTTCCATGCCCAGACACCACCTCTGTTTTGCCAAATCCAATGTATGTGTTTTAATCCTCATCTTACCCTCAATCTTCCATGTATAGTTGTTCACTATTTCTTCCACTTTAAGACATACCTACCTGACACCACGCTCTTGTGGTTTTTCTGATTCCTTTTGTTAGCATTTTCTCTTCCACCCAGCTTCTGAAGGTTGGAGGTCTCTCAGAGCTCTGGATTATCCCTCTTTCCTTCCCATTGTTCATTCATCAATTGCCATGACTCCGAACATTTTATTTATGCTGATGTCACCTATGTTTCCATCTGCAGCCTAGCCTTTTCCTCTTGAGTTCCAAGCCACTGTAATCTCTCAGCATGTTGACAACTGGACTCCCAGCCTCAACACTTAGCCCTTTAAGTCACTTCTCCACAGTGCTTTTTTCAAAGGTACATCAGGCCAGGTTACTCTAGTGCCCAAAATCCTTCAATGACTTTATGCTGAACTATGGCTAACCTCCAAACTCTTTACCGTAAATGGGCTCATCAGGCCTTGAACATAGCCCTACAATGACCTATTCCTTCATACTCATTTAATGCTACTCTCCCCCACTATCCACACTCCAAACTATACTGGCCTGCTAACAGTTTCTTGAATAAACAGAGCTCCGTCCTGCTTCAGGCCTTCACACATGCTGTTAAAAACACTCTATCCTCATTTTTTCTCTGGCAACTCTTATTCATCATCAGGTCTCAGTTAAATATCACTTTCTCAGAGAGCAAACCCCTGAATCCTAAGCCTCTAAATCTAAAACAGGATTCTTGCGATTCTCTTGCATTATGTCCCTGTTATTTTAGCTCCATTTTTAATTGCTAAATGATGTTTATTTTCCCTCCACTAGCTTCTTGAGGCAAGGTCCATGACTGCCTATTCATCGCTATGGACTCAATGTCTGGGACAAAATATGACATGAATAAAATCAATAAATATGTTTTCTTTTTTTTGTTGAGATGGAGTCTCACTCTGTCACTCAGGCTGGAGTGCAGTGGCGCAATCTCCGCTCACTGCAAGCTCTGCCCCCCGGGTTCATGCCATTCTCCTGCCTCAGCCTCCTGAGTAGCTGGGACTACAGGCGCCCACCACCACGCCCGGCTAATTTTTTTTTTTTTTTGTATCTTTAGTAGACAGGGGTTTCACCATGTTTGCCAGGATGGTCTCGATCTCCTGACCTTGTGATCCGCCCACCTCGGTCTCCCAAAGTGCTGGGATTACAGGTGTGAGCCACCGCGCCTGGCCAATATGTTTTAAACATATTTATGGATGATGTTTTCCTTGTATTTATTCCATATTTTGCTTCTGCATCTACTATATCTACTCTATTTAAAAGATAATTAATTATAGCAAATTAATTACAGTGTTGTGTTTATTTTCAGATGTAGAATTGAAACTCAAAAGGATTAAGTAACTTCCTCACTGTCACATGGCTATTAAGAGACAGAACTAGGATTCAAATCCAGATATTTCTAATCTAGAGTCTTTGCTCTTGGGTGGGGAAACTGAAGCTTGGACATATGAAGTGATTTACCAATGACTTAAGAAATGAGAATTTGAAGGGTTTGCTTTCATTCTGAAAAAGAGGATGCATGTTATTACATTACTCATGTATTGAGAATACAGATTTTCTACAATCAATTCTTTTTTTGTCTCTTTCCAGACAAAAAATTTCCAGAGTCTGTTTTAAAAACATTTCTGTTAGATGCAGACTTCATCTCTGTTGGACTTGAATCTCCAGTAGAGAAAGGGAAAGGCAGAGTACTTTGTCTATTTGCATCTGGTAAACAACAAGTCCTTTTTGGTATAAAATTTTCAAGTTACTTACCAAAGAATAGGTTAACCCTGGGCATCACTTACCAGTTATTTTTAATCTGCTGCAATCACCAACACAGTAGCAACTTATCATCCCCCTAATAGGAAAGATGATAAGGTGCTATTGATAAAACCCCAGTTAAATAAAGTTATAAATGTTTAAAATTGAGAAAATAGATACCATTTAATAATATATTCTAAAGCCCGTAATTAAATCAGAAAGATTGTTCTGATGTTCAGATCAATTTCGTTCAGGAAGAATATATGGAAAAGACCTTTTCTTACTTTCCATTCCTGAACAATGATAATCATATTTGAATACAATCATATGATCATACCTATCATTTACTGAAAACCTACTATGATCATGGCATTATGCCAAGAACATTACACATATAATTATTAATATTCAATCCAATTCTGGAAAGTAGATACTAGTATTCTCACTTTATACATGAGAGCACAGTAACTTCTCTAAGGTAACTACTAACCAACACAGCATAGCTAGTAAATCCTAAAATGGGGAGTGAAGTCTGTCTGACTTGCAGTGTAAGTTTATTCCTTTATGCCACAGTGCAATGAAAAGAGAATTTTAAACAGCCTTCCTCAGTAATAAGCTTTGGTTTTAGGTGATAAGAGAATAAAGGGCATATCTTCCTATCTTTCAGGTGGTAGAAGCTGTAGTGGTAGTAATTAAGGTCACTAATATTTACACAGTACTTGTTATATGCCAAATATTTTGCTAAGTACTTTCGATGCAGTATTTAATTTAATTCTCATAAAATTTGGCAAGCCGGATATTGGTCTTATTTAACTGTTGAGAAAACCAAATATCAGAGAGGTTAAGTAAGGTCAAGGTCACATAAAGGTTAAATATAGTTCTTTCTGATTCCAATACTCATATTATTTAACTTAAAAAAATTGTGGTGAAATAAACATAAAATTTACCATTGTAACCACTGTTGAGTATACAGTTCAGTGACGCCAAGCATATTCATACGCTGTATAACCTCTGTAACTTTCTTTATCGAGAAATTTCAAATATATACAAAGACAGACAGGATAGTATAATGAACCTCCATGTACCTATCACCCAGCCCATCAACTCATGGCTAATCTTGTTTCCTTATACTCATTCATTTCCTCTTCTCCAGGGTTATTCTGAAGCAAAGTCCAAACAAATCTTTCAACCATAAATATATTGGTTAAGTATCTCTAAAATATAAAGATTCTTTAAAAAATATACACAATGCAATTTTCACACATAAAAAATTAATAGTAATCCCTGAAAATTACCACATATCCAGCCAGTGCTCAACTTTCTAATTAGGTTTTAAAAAAAGTTTCTTACAGGCAGAATGAGAATTCAAATAAAATCTCTATGGTGTAATTGGTCTTCATTAATGTGTTTTTCTCTCTCTCCTTTCTTATTGCAATTTGTTAGTTGAAGAAACCAGGTTATTTGTCCTATATAGATTCTTGCATCCTGGATTTTGGTGATGTTTAATTTTTCTCTGTTCTGGGTTTCCCCAGAAAATTGGTAGCTAAATTTAGAGGCTTGGTCTGATTAGTTTTTGGGTTTTTTTTTTGCAAGACTACTTCATAGATGGTGGTGTGTTCTACATCAGGAGAAACATAATCTATGGTTCCCTCTTTACGTAAGTTTGCAGTCACTAATGCTCAATGCTCGAATCTACTAATTAGGGTTTGCAAAATAGTGATATTCTAATTCTATCATTTCTTTTTCAATTATGAATATTTCTCTAAAGTGGAACTTCTCCATATCTACTATTTTGACATCTAGTGTTACTATCTTATTTGAAAGGCAGGACAAATCCCCAGTTCCTTTTAGTAGAAATCTGGTTGTTACAGATGCTCAAAGCTGTTATTGGGTTGGTCACTGTTACAATGAGTTCAAAGGACAGAAGTAGAATGACTAGACATAACTATAAATATTAAAACAACAAAAGCATAAGTCCATGCAGGTACTTCCTATTCAAATTCAAGATCAAAGGGTTCTTAGTTAATCTCTTCTATTTTAAATCTGCATATAATGTTTCCATGTCAAAACCTAGGTTCCTGGGCCAGGCACATCAGGGCTCATTCCTGTAATCTCAGCATTTTGGGAGGCTAGAGCAGGAGGACTGCTTGAGGGCACGAGTTTCAGACCAGCCTGGGCAACACAGTGGGACCCTGCTGCATTTACAAAAAATAAAAAACTTAGTTGAGCGTGGTGATGCGTGCCTATAGTCCCAGCTACTCGAAAGGCTGAGGCGGGAGTATTGCTTGAGCTCAGGGGTTCAAGGCTGCAGTGAACTATGATCACACACTGAGCTCCAGCCTGGGCAACAGTGCAAGATCCCGTCTCAAAAAAATTCATATATATATATATATATATATATATAATTTATATATATAATATACAAATATAGGTCCCCAATGGGAAAACAAAATTAGAATATTTCACAATTACTAATGTGTTTTATTAAACTCACATTACACCCGTCTTGAAGTAACAATATAAAGGTTTCTATACAAATGTCATTAGTAAAAACTATTTTTTCAATTGTGTCTTTAAGGTATAGCCTACTAGGAATAGTCACTTAGATGTTCAGTTATGCCACCAAATGGATATATATTTAGGTTCACTGATTTCAATTTATTTAAATTTTAGACACTGCTCCTTTAAACTTTTGTTTCATAATCATGTAAAACATTTATGGAGTTCTTAAGTTACATCAAAGAACAAAAAATATTCAAAGAAGTCGAGTTTCATTCCTCTTTCACTTTTACCCAATTTCTTCACTTTCTTTATAGGTAACTGTTTAACAATTTTTTCTATAGTTTGTCCTTCCCCTATTTGTTTCCAAAATATAAACAGATACAAATGAGTATCAACCTGTCCCGAGGATGCCTATGTGGTGGCATATAGAGCTTCATATGGAGATGTTTTCATTCATTTTTATAGCTGCATGGTATAATACTTTCTTGTGTGAATGTACCAAAGCTTATTCAACAAATTCTTACTGATGGAGCTGTAGGTAGAAGATTTATCTGTTTGTTTTTAATGTCCTTATATATATGTCTATGTATTCAAGTCTTTTATGCAAGTAGTCTTTCAATATGTGGTCTATTTTACTTGTTTTCTTTTTATATTTTAGTTTTTACCTTTTTTTTTGGTATTTAGGAAGGTTTATATATTTGTTCTAATAGTTCCCTTTACATGAATAACTTTATATAACTCCCTAGTCCCCTTAGTTTAATTGTCATTTTCTATTGATTCCCTACCATATGTAATATTCAAATTAGCTAATTGCCTCCTTTTCTTCCTCCTCCTTCTCTCCCAGCATCTGACTTGAAGTAATATCCTAAATCCCTTTCTTTATATCCAGGGTAACCTCAAGGAAATGATGAAATGAGAGAATGCTGAAGCTAAAAACAACCACACACACAAAAAACCACATTAGAAAATAGAAAGCTATTTATGACAAACCCACAGCTGATATCATACTGAATGGGCAAAAACTGGAAGCATTCCCTTTGAAAACTGCCACAAGACAGGGATGCCTTCTCTCACCACTCCTATTCAACACAGTGTTGGAAGTTCTGGCCAGGGCAATTAGGCAGGAGAAGGAAATAAAGGGTATTCAATTCGGAAAAGAGGAAGTCAAATTGTCCCTGTTTGCAGATGACATGATTGTATATCTAGAAAACCCCATTGTCTCAGCACAAAATCTCCTTAAACTGATAGGCAACTTCAGCAAAGTCTCAGGTTACAAAATCAATGTGCAAAAATCACAAGCATTCTTATACACCAATAACAGACAAACAGAGAGCCAAATCATGAGTGAACTCCCATTCACAATTGCTTCAAAGAGAATAAAATATCTAGGAATCCAACTTACAAGGGACGTGAAGGACCTCTTCAAGGAGAACTGCAAACCACTGCTCAATGAAATAAAAGAGGATACAAACAAATGGAAGAACATTCTATGATCATGGGTAGGAAGAATCAATATTGTGATAATGGCCATACTGCCCAAGGTAATTTATAGATTCAATGCCATCCCCATCAAGCTACCAATGACCTTCTTCACAGAATTGGAAAAAACTACTTTAAAGTTCATATGGAACCAAAAAAGAGCCCGCATCGCCAAGTCAATCCTAAGCCAAAAGAACAAAGCTGGAGGCATCACCCTACCTGACTTCAAACTACACTACAAGGCTACAGTAACCAAAACAGCATGGTACTGGTACCAAAACAGAGACATAGACCAATGGAACAGAACAGAGCCCTCAGAAATAATGCCGCATATCTACAACTATCTGATCTTTGACAAACCTGACAAAAACAAGAAATGGGGAAAGGATTCCCTATTTAATAAATGGTGCTGGGAAAACTGGCTAGCCATATGTAGAAAGCTGAAACTGGATCTCTTCCTTACACCTTACACAAAAATTAATTCAAGATGGATTAAAGACTTAGATGTTAGACCTAAAACCATAAAAACCCTAGAAGAAAACCTAGGCAATACCATTCAGGACATAGGCATGGGCAAGGACTTCATGTCTAAAACACCAAAAGCAATGGCAACAAAAGCCAAAATTGACAAATGGGATGTAATTAAACTAAAGAGCTTCTGCACAGCAAAAGAAACTACCATCAGAGTGAACAGGCAACCTAGAGAATGGGAGAAAATTTTTGCAGTCTACTCATCTGACAAAGGGCTAATATACAGAATCTACAAAGAACTCAAACAAATTTACAAGAAAAAAACATCCCCATGAAAAAGTGGGCGAAGGATATGAACAGACACTTCTCAAAAGAAGACATTTATGCAGCCAAAAGACACATGAAAAAATGCTCATCATCACTGGCCATCAGAGAAATGCAAATCAAAACCACAATGAGATACCATCTCACACCAGTTAGAATGGCAATCATTAAAAAGTCAGGAAACAACAGGTGCTGGAGAGGATGTGGAGAAATAGGAACACTTTTACACTGTTGGTGGGACTGTAAACTAGTTCAACCATTGTGGAAGTCAGTGTGGCGATTCCTCAGGGATCTAGAACTACAAATACCATTTGACCCGGCCATCCCATTACTGGGTATATACCCAAAGGAGTATAAAACATGCTGCTATAAAGACACATGCACGTGTATGTTTATTGCGGCACTATTCACGATAGCAAAGACTTGGAACCAAGCCAAATGTCCAACAATGATAGACCGGATTAAGAAAATGTGGCACATATACACCATGGAATACTCTGCAGCCATAAAAAAGGATGAGTTCATGTCTTTTGTAGGGACATGGATGAAGCTGGAAACCATCATTCTCAGCAAACTATCGCAAGGACAAAAAACCAAACACCGCATGTTCTCACTCACAGGTGGGAATTGAACAATGAGAACACATGGACACAGGAAGGGGAACATCACACACCGGGGCCTGTTGTTGGGTGGGAGGAGAGGGGAGGGACAGCATTAGGGATATACCTAATGTTAAATGAAGAGTTAATGGGTGCAGCACACCAACATGGCACATGTATACATATGTAACAAACCTGCATGTTGTGCACATGTAGCCTAAAACTTAAAGTATAATTTTAAAAAAAGAACAAAAAAAAAAAGAAAATAGAAAATGTACTTTAAGATACATTTTAAAAATATATTTAACATTTTTTAAATTAATTAATTTTTTGTAGACACAGGGTCTCCCTATATTGCTCAGGCTGGTCTCGAACTCCCAGGCTCAAGATATTCTCCTGCCTCAGCCTCCCAAATTGCTAGATTACAGGTGCAAGCCCCGGCACCAAGCCTTTAAGATACATGTTAAATACAAGAAAATCAAGGGTCAAAATGGCAAAATAAGTTGCCCAAGCTCATAGTAAATTAAAGTTAGCTTAAAAACAGAACTCAGGTCTTCTAATTCTCAGTCTGTCACTCTATCCAAAACTTTTCTGGATCATTCCTCAATTAGCATTTGTTTAAGATGATTATAAACAAGATTCAGATAAACTCCTTTCCAGCCCCATTACCTTGTTAGGGGTCTGTGAGGCTCCTGCCTCAAAGCCTTTGCACTCCCTGCTCTATTTTATTAGAGTAGCACCAGGGACCGTTTCATGGAAGACGATTTTTCCACGGATGCAGGGTGGTGCTTTTGGGATGACTCAAGCACATTACATTTATTGTGCACTTTATTTCTATTATTATTACATTGTAATATTTAATGAAATAATTATACAACTTACCATGATGTAGAATCAGTGGGAGCCCTGAGCTTGTTATTCTGCAACTAGACAGACCTATCTGCGGGTGACGGGAGACTGTGACAGATCATCAGGTATTAGATTCTCATAAGGCATGTGTAACCTAGATCCTTTGCGTGTACAGTTCACAATAGGGTTGGCGCTCCTATGAGAATCTAATGCTGCTGCTGATCTGGCAGGTGGTGGAGCTCAGGAGGTAATGGAGTGACGGGGAGAAGCTGCCAACACAGATGAAGCTTTGCTCACTTGCCCGCCGCTCACCTCCTGCTGTGTGGCTCAGTTCCAACAGCCCATGGACCATACTGGTCCATGAGAACACACTTCCCTTAGATATCTACAAAGCTCATTCCCTCTCCTGCTTTAGGTCTTTGCTCAACTATCACCTTCTAAATGAGATATATGCTCCACTGATCACCCATATGCACTGCTACCTTCCAATTCCCAACACTCCCAATCTCTTCATCCTGCTTTATTTTCCCATGGAACTTGTTATCTTCTAACATTTTATTAATTTTTTCATTCATTCACCTATGTATGAAATTATTATATATCCCTCCTTACATTAGAACAGAGGCTTCATGAGAGCAGAGATTTTTTATTGTCACTGGGCAGAGGACAGTGCCCAGAACATAGAAGCTGCTCACTAAATATTTGTTGGATGAAAGAGTAAGAAATTTCAAGCACCATTACAAAGTGTTTTTTTTTTTTTTTTTTTTTTTGAGATGGAATCTCGCTCTGTCACCAGGCTAGAGTCCAGTGGCACAATCTCGGCTCACTGCAACCTCCACCTCCTGGGTTCAAGCGATTCTCCTGCCTCAGCCTCCCGAGTAGCTGGGACTACAGGCGCGCACCACCATGCCTAGCTAATTTTTGTATTTTTTTAGTAGAGACGGGGTTTCACCGTGTTGGCCAGGATGGTCTCGATCTCTTGACTTCGTGATCTGCCTGCCTTGGTCTCCCAAAGTGCTGGGATTACAGGCATGAGCCACCACACCCAGCCTCACAAAGTGTTTTTATACTTGCATTAGTCTTTCACAATTGCTATTTAAAACTGGTAACCTGGAGAATGTTTATAACTTATAGCGCATTCATAATGGGTATGGGAAATTTAGGACTTGGAATTGGTTAATGAGTTACTTCACATAGAGGTTTAAAGCACTACTACTAATGGAACAAAAGTTAGTCTAACTGGAATTCATTAACTAGTATGAAACTTAAGAGAGATCATATCTGATTATTAAAGGCTCAGTACTGTTTAGGCTTTGTTATGGACTGAATGTGTTCCCACTCAAATTCATATGCTGAAGGCCTAACCCCCCAGTGTAATGATATTTGGAGAGGGGGTGTTTGGGAGGAGATTAGGTGATAAGGGCAGAGCTTAGTCTGATGACATTAGTACCCTTATAGTAAAAGACACCAGAGAGCTTGCTCTTGGTCTCTCTGCTAACATAGATGCTAACAAAAGGCCATGTGAGCACACATTGAGAAGGTGGCTGTCTGGAAGCCAAGAAGAGGGGCCTCACCAGAACCCAACTGTGCTGACACTCCATCTTGGGCTTTCTGCCTCAAGGACTGTGAGGAAATAGATTTCTGTTGTTCAAACCACCCAGTCTACATTTTGTTACGGCATCTTGAGCTGACTAACACAGGCTTAAAACATGGCCCTACAGAAGATGGATCATTCATTCAGCAACCAGACTGATTAGCTAGCACTGCCTATTAAAGGACAAAGGATATGTTTCTGAGCAACAATGTTCCTCATGATGTCAAGCATGATGCAAATTTAAGATCATAGAAGAGATTAGGGGAGAGATTACAGGTGACTCAAATGTGTGAAAATAATTAAACAGGACTGCCCTGTTGATTATTAAACAAACGTGCCAAGTAATTCCATTTCTGTAATTCCAAGTATATTTAAGGATTGTTTAGTTCTGAAATGTCAACTGTCCAAGAATAACTGCTTTGTTGTAATAACAAATAAATCAAGAAAATCAACACATTCCAATCATGGAATGACCTCCAACAACCATCAAAGCACAAATCAACTGGCCTTCCTACTTCCCAAAGTATACCACTGCCCATTACCAAGATCTCCAAATTTCTATCTCAGAAACTCAAAGAATTCATGAATAAATTAAGAAACAATTTAGGACTTAACTTTATCTAGTGTTCAGTGAATTTTCTAATAATATCTTAAGTCTAGATAAAGTCTGATGCTTTTCATGTTCATTCTCTGCATTTATAAGGTAATTCTCAAATACTCCTGTTAAGGATTCTTCTCATGAATTTGTCAGAAATCCGTGAAATTTCCAGAAAAACAAGCAGAGCTGAATTCTCGAATACAATTTGTTTTCAGAAATTAAATCAACCAAGGAAAGGGTTGAATTTCCACTCATACAATGAATAAAATTACTGGTTTTGGGGGTCTTATTTAGAGAAACTCAAATAAAGTGGCATTTATAAAACATTTGTAGCTTTGACTATAATCAACTGTAATAATAAGATACCAGCTTAAAAAATTCTTTTCATTTAAGCCTCTTTTGTAATACTGCTTTTTAATAACCCTCATAATAGCCGAATTAAAGGACCCCAACAGAAATCATTCATCCCACATAAAACAAACATTGCCTTTTCTTCTTAGCTTTGTTTTACAAGCTACATTATTTCCAGATGACGCTTGAGGGGACTATGGTTTCAAGAATTAGATGCTTAAATAGACAGCTGCTTTCTATTTGCCATGTAAATCAAGGATAAATCAAAGAAAATTCCAAATAGGAGACTTCTTTTCTTCCTATTGGGAACTATGAACAGGCAGAAGGGGAGAAACAGAATGAAAAACAATCAAGATCTGAGCAAACAGAAAATTAAAGATTTCTCAAATAAGTAAAAGGAAATTTAAAATATTTCAGGAAAAGGTGTTTTTATATTAGCTCTATGCAGCAGGAAGTAAAAACTTTTTCACTAGAATGGAAAGAGGGGGAAAGAAACTGTGATCACTGGTTTTTAGAAATCTATCACACGTTACTACTGAATATGCATGGGTTATTTTTTCTGTATTCTTTAAACTTCACTTAGAAAGTTAATTAATCATTGCCAGATTTCAATGCAAACACATCCTATTTCTTTTTATAAGCCAGAGAGACGAAGGAACATAAAAGTTTTTTAATAATTTTTTTAAAAGTCCTTAAAAATAATATTCTACCATATTCCATAAGAAGGGACAGAACGATCTTCCTCTTCAGAAGTAAGAAAAGGCAATAGTGTTTCATTCGATCCTTCAGTTTAAAAATGAAGGAATGTTTTGTTTTTGTTTTAAAAAAGAGGGGAGCCCTCCAACTCAATATTGTCCTTAGAATCACTCTCAGAACATTTTTGGAACTCTCAGGTCCTAGCCAAGTTAGAACACAAGCACGAAAATTGGTTGTCTTATGTCAAAGTCAGGCCTGGCTTTTCATAAGGAAAAAAGTGGTAGGGTCAGGGGGGATGAGGAGTTTGCTTACTCGCTACAGACTTTGCTTGAATTTTAAAATCAATTGTATTGGTACAACCATTATGAAAAGCAGCAGGAGGTTCCTCAAATAATTAAAAATAGAATGACCATATGATCCAACAATTCCACTTCTGGGTATATACCCAAAGGAAATGAGGTATCTATATTTGCACTTGCATATTCATTTCAGCATTATTAACTACAGCTAAGATATGAAGACAACCTAAGTACTCGCTGACAGATACATGGAGAAAGAAAACGTGGTGCATATCCACAATGGAATATCATTTAGCCATAAATAAGGAGATCCTATCATTTGCGACAACATGGATAAACCTGGAGAACATTATGCTAAGTAAATGAGACAGAGACAAAAAGGGAAATACTGCATGATCTCACTTAGATGTGAAATCCAAAAAAGTCAAAATCATAGAATCAGAGCCGTACAGTGGTTGCCAGGGGGTGGGGGAAAGGAGATGTTGGTCACAGGGAACAAACTTTCAGTTATGTAAGATGAGTAAGTTCTGTGGACCCAGTGTATAGCATGGTGACTGTAGTTAATAATACTGTATTGTACACGTGATATTTGCTAAGAGAGTAGATCATAAGTGTTCTCATCACACAAAATGGTAACTATGTGAGGTGATGGTGATGGATGTGTTAATTGACTTAATTGTGGTAACTGTTTCACAATGAATACATATAGCAAATCATGTCATATACTCCAAAATATACAATTTTTTATTTATTATGACTCATAAACCTGGGAAAAAAATCGATTGCACTAAAGAAGAAACTCACTGGGACCTAATCAATGTGGGGCTTGGAATCTATTTAAGTTCAAAGCAGTTGTGCTAGGGATGTTCACCAATTTTATTCACAGGGTTTGGCTCTGTTTTACACAGTTTCTTCAATATGAAAGTAAATATAAAGATCTTGATCCAAATTTCATGATCCTCCTGGAGAAATGGTTGATTCCAGGGCTGGGGCAGAGAAAATACCCGATGAACTGGAGCATCTTGATGGTCTCAAAAAAAGATAAGAGTAAACTGAGAGGGCAGAGGACACAACATGAAAGAGCTCCCAATGGCCAAAGCTGGAACAATGTGAGCAACAGAATAATAACAGTATTGGTTATAACACACAGAATAAAACAAGGATCCATGTGTCCAAACTGATAGAAATAAATAATTGAATAAGTAAATACACGAGGGAGAAGTGACAACTCTTCCTTATAGAATTCTATTAATAATGGCAGAAGGAATGAGAAAAAAAGAAAATCACTAGTAAATCAGTGATATATGCTGCAGGCAAGATCCATCAGTGGATTTCAAAATTTGTGGGAAAATTTGTAAGCAGAAACAGGATATTGGCATAGTCTTAAAGTATCTCCCCAAAATATATAGTCATTACAAAGAGAAAAATAACAAATTTACAGTAAAAAACCCTGGCATACCTCACCTTAGCAAAATGGTCAAGGTAAACCTCACCAGTAATACATATCAATATCATGTATTTCCCAGTATGATGCACTGAGAAGGGCTCACCTCTTCCCAATCCTTGTCAATAATGCATGACCTCAATCTAATCATGAGAAAACACCAGCCAAATCCAAATTGGGGGATATTCCACAAAATAACTGACTAGTAGTCTTTAGAAGTGTTGAGGTCATGAAAGACAAGAAAGACTTAGGAGACATGACAAGGAAATTTAATATGGGATCCTGGGTTGGGTCCCAGAAAAGAATAGGCATTAATGTTAAAATTGTAAAATCTGAATGAGATTGTTATTAAAGTTAACAGTAATGTACCAGTATTAATTCCTTTATTTTGATAAATGTTACATGATCATGTAAGATATTAGCAAAAGGGAGAATTGGGTGAAGTATATATGAAAATTCATTTTTGTTTTTTTTGAGACAGAGTTTCGCTTTTGTCGCCCAGATTGGAGTGCAATGGCGCAATCTCAGCTCACTGCAACCTCCGCCTCCTGGGTTCAAGCAGTTCTCCGGCCTCAGTCTCCCGAATATCTGGGATTACAGTCGTGTGCCACCATGCTCAGCTAATTTTTGTATTTTTAGTAGAGACACGGTTTCACCACGTTGTTCAGGCTGATGTCCAACTCCTGACTTCAGGTGATCCACCTGCCTCTGCCTCCCAAAATGCTGGGATTACAGGTGTGAGCCAATGCGCCCAGCTGGAAATTCTTTAAAACATCTCTATAAGTCTAAAATTATCTTAATGGAGGAATGGAGGGAAAGCAAGTTGCATGTATACTTGACAGAAATTCAAGATCTACACCTACAAAGAAGAATATAAAGTAAAAAGTATGTTATTCTTTTTTCTTTGAGATCTTTCAGTCTGACTCCCCAGAAGTAACCATTATTTAATAGTTGTGCATTATTGAAAAATTTAATGCATAATTTTCAAGCATACATGTATGTATAAACTACATGCTATAAAGTATTTTTCTTACTGGTTTATATATCATGGGTATCTTTTCATATAAACCCATGTAGATTGATTTCATTTAAAAAATAGCTGTAGAATACTGCATTGGATGAATTTATACTTTATTTAATAAGTCCCTTATTGAGGGATATTTTGCTTATTTCTATTTTTTGTTCTTAAAC
The DNA here is from genome assembly GCF_000001405.40 of Homo sapiens. Taxonomy (NCBI): domain Eukaryota; kingdom Metazoa; phylum Chordata; class Mammalia; order Primates; family Hominidae; genus Homo; species Homo sapiens. Next base: position 49,155,129 of record NC_000018.10, read on the forward strand.
AAGGTTGAAGAATATACACACCTTTGTGGAACTGCATATCTAGCTGACTTTCGCAGTTTCTAAAGTCAAATCACTCAAACATATTTTGCCTCCTTAAAATATTAATTATTTCAAAGTACAAGATTTATTTTCCTACATTCACCTTTGTGCCATAATGCTAGCCATGCTGATCTTTATCTACTAGTACACACACCCAACAAATAGCTCTCTTTTTCCCCCCGTGCTCAAAGCACTACTTTTTTTTCAATGGCTTCATCAAGATACAATTCATATACCATATACTTCACCAATCTAAAGTATGATTGAATGGTTTTTGGTATATTCACAGAGTTGTGCAAATATCACCACAGCCTAATTTTGAAACATTTCATCACCTCCCAAAATAAACTCTGTGCCCATTAGTAGTCACACCTCATTCTGCTTCACACTCCAGCCCTAAGGCATCTACTATCTACCTCTATAAGATTTGCCTATTCTGGACATTCCATATACATGAGATCAAACAATAAGTGGCCTTGTTACTGGCTCCTTTCACTTAGCATAATGTTTTCAAGGTTCATCCATGATTAAGAATGTATCAGCATTTAATTCCTTTTTATCGTATGATGCACTGAGAAGGGCTAGTAGTATCTCACATGGTATCTCACATGGTATGGATACACCACATTTTATTTATTCATTTGTCTTCTGATGGACACTTCAGTTGTTTCCATTTTTGGCTATTGCAAATAATGGTTCTATGAACATGTGCATTTTCAGGTAGACATATGTTTTCAATTCATTTGTATGTAAACCCAGAAATGAAATTTCTCTATCATGTGACAACTCTGTGTTTAATTACTGATGAACTAAAATGGCTGCACCATATAACATTCCCATGAGCAGTACATGAGGATTCTAATTTCTCCACATCTTCACCAACACTTGTTATTATCTGCCTTTTTATTCTGGCCATCAAAATAGATGTGTGAAGTGGTATCTCATGGTTTTGATCTGCATTTCCTTAATAGCCAATGATGTTGAGTATATTTTGATGTGCTAATTGGCCACTTTTTATATCTTCTTTGGAAAAATGTCTATTAAGATTTTTCCCATTTAAAAAATGCAGTAAAAATTTTATTGCTAACTTGCATCACAGTCCAACAAGATGCTCAGTTGGCCTTCCGTGAGAGGATCCAGGGATCCAGAAAATGTTATCCTGTGGGAACTTGGAATCTCCCACTGGGTCTCCTGCAACCAGCCAGCAAATGATGAGAAAAGAGAAGTGTGGAAGACACACTCAAACCACGCCCCCCCCTCAAAAAAAACAACAACAAAAAATGGCCAGGCGTGGTGGCTCACGCCTGTAATCCCAGCACTTCAGGGGTTTGAGGTGGGTGGATCACCTGAGGTCAGGAGTTCGAGACCAGCCTGGCCAACATGATGAGACCCTGTCTCTACTAAAAATACAAATATGAGTAGGGCGTGGTGGTGCATGCCTATAGTCCCAGCTACTTGGGAGGCTGAGGCAGGAGAATTGCTTGAACCCAGGAGGCAGAGGCTGCAGTGAGCTGACATCATGCCACTGTGCTCCAGCCTGGGCGACAGAGTGAAAACGCTGTCTCAAAAAAAAAAAAAAAAAAAAAAAGTGTGGAAGACAGCATTTCTACCTACATTCCACTGACTTAGAGCTAGTCATATGCCCCCCTCCTAGATGCAAGGGAGCTGGAAAATGTTGCTTTGCTGTGTAATCAGGGAGAGGAAATGGGTTTTGTGGAGCATCTGGCCAGTCTCTGCCTCACCTAAAGTCTTTGCCTCACCTAAAGTGGGGTGCCTGGCACATGCCTGGCATTCAGGAAAAGCAGCTGGTTGACAGGAAGCCTGCCAACATGGCCCCCATTTCTTTGTTCTTGGTGGTCACTCTGGTTTGGCTTATTTCTGGGGCTCCTGGACATGCCTGACCTTGGGAATTCCAAGGTCAGGAAGCACCCTGGGAAGAGGGAGTCCATCTTTGGGGTTCAGGTACACGCTGTGATGTCAAGTAACTACCCAGATGTTCCCAGACAGATTAGAAAATCCTCCGGATGTTGCTGCTCACCTGTAGTTAGTGACTGCTGGCTGTTGTGATCTCTACCTCTCCATCTAATATCACACCACTCCTCCTCCTGCAGAAGCTCTTTCTGCACTAAAGAGCTCAGAGACAGTTCCATCTTCTGAACTAACACCTGTGGTCCCAGACTGTCTCTCCCACACATAGGCAGCATGGCATAACTGTAATAGCTAACCTTATCAAGCACTTGCTTCATGCCAAGGATCCTACCTCATTCATTTAATCCTCAAAAGAACCCCAGGTGTTCAATTCTCATTATTATTTGTCTTTTTGGTTCTGGCCATCATAGTACAGAAAAGGTAATTGAGGCCCAGTGAGGCAAAATGACATACTTAAGGCCACACAGGTCACAAGCCACAGAACCAGTTCACAAAATATAATATTTGCCCATTTTAAAATTCCATTATCTTTTTATTATTGATCTCTTCACATATTATAGATACTAGTCCCTTATCAGATGGATTATTTGCAAATATCCTCTCCCATTCTGTAGATTGTCTTTTTGCTTTCTTAATTGCATCCTTTGAAACACAAAGTTTTAAATTTTGATGAAGTCTAATTTATCTATTTTTCTTTTGTCACTTGAGTTTTTGGCATCACCTAAGAAGTCTTTGCCTAACCCAAAGTCATGAAGGTTTAATCATATTTTATTCTAAAAGTTGTATAATGTTGGCTCTGACATTTAGGTCTATGGTCCATTTTGAGTTAATTCTTGTGTATAGAATGAGTGAGGGGTGACAAATAATTACTGAACACCTATTATACACCAGACACTGTGCTGGATACAAACAACTCAGTGACAATGACACAAGACCATTTTTCACTTTCATGCCCTCTTTGAAGAAGCATAACACCTGGAATGTTTTCCTGCCTGAATCTCTCCTTTGAAAAATATTACCCAGCTCAAATTTCAACTCCTTTCAATGAAGACTGCCACAGTACCTCCCCTTCTTCCTAAAAGTTTTTCTCTCTCACTTTCTCTTCTGACAACCCACAAGTTTGGTTCTGTAGCTTTTATAAAATTGGTTATATGTTGAATTGTATTTTAGTTGTGTATCTGTTTTAACTATCCTGTAAGTAGGTACTATGCCTTCTTCATTTTTACCTCTTATACCATGGTAAAGTAATGTAAAACAAAAGTTTTAATAATATTCTGATTGCTGTTATCATCACTAGAATAAATGCATGAAAAGTTGACCCCCAAAAGCAATTGTCAAAAGTGACAACATGTGAAAGGAGCTGTTTTAAGAGTAACAAATTTCAGCTTTTCAAACTTCTTGGATATGACAGCATACCTACTAAGATAACTGTTCCCATGTTATATAAGTGTTAAATTACCTACCCCAGCCTTTAAATCTTCCAGAAAAATCTTTAAGGGACATTTCCATCAAGAACTAATACCATTATTCTACTCTCTGTCTTCATGAGTTCAGTTGTATTAATTTTTAGCTCCCATAAATAAGTAAGAACGTGTGATGTTTGTTTGTTTGTGCCTGGCTTGTTTCACTTAACAAGAAGGATGGTTACCAGAGGCTGCGAAGGGTAGTTGGGGCAGGGAGGGGATGATTAAGGAGTAAAAAAATATAGTTGGATAGAATCAAGAAGATCTAGTATTTGATAATAGCACAACAGGGTGATTACAGCTAACAATAATTTATTGTACATTTTGAAATAACTAAAAGAGCATAATTGGATTGTTTGTAACACAAAGAAAGGATAAATGGTTACCCCATTCATCCTGATATTACTCATTGTACGTGGGTATTAAAATATCTCATGTACCCTATAAATATATACATCTACTATCTACCCATAAAAATTTAAAAAAGAATACTCTAATACCATTATATACAAACAATATGTATGTATATCTTTGTATTATTTATGTACGTGTGTGTACAAAGGGGCATTTTAACACTAGCTCAGTAAAGGCACAAACATTGTACAAAACAATTGACTGAAGATAGTTTTCAATATTATTTATCCATCAACTATTGAGTCAAATGAATTTGAGATCTAAGTTAAAGAGTAAACACCACACAGAATCTTAATAATAGAACAACCTAAAAAGGATGGGGTGGAAAATAGAAACATCTCTGAATTTAAATTTTGTCATATGAAAATCAGATCAGAATATCCTATAATACATTTCTGAAGAAACTAAATGTCTGAAAGCAGATTTAAAAGTTTGTAAACAAGGTCTAAAAGATTATTAATAAAAGCTATGAAGTCAAAAGGTCAGCCAGTGATATAGTCCAGAGTTAACGGTATCTTAGAATTCCATATAGAATGATAATAATAAGTGATCATGACTTGATGAAAATAAATTTCATATGGATGGCTTTTACTCTTTAGAAAGTTACAGTTTAGAAGCAAGCTATCTGTAGGGCACAGTGGCTCATGCCTGTAATCCTAGCACCTTGGGAAGACAAGGCAGGACAATCACTTGAGGCCAGGAGTTCAAGAGCAGCCTGGGCAATATAGTGAGACCCAATCTCTACATTTTGGAGTTAGGTGGTAGAGTCAGTCCTACAGAAAGATTCAAAGTTATTTGATGACCACAGGGCAATATAATTTGGTTCCTTATGGTTGCAACTAGAATAAAAGTTAAATTGTTAGGAACTAGGGAAACAAAGCTTATATGGTACAGTAACAATATTCCTCATTGGTTATAAATATTCATATGGTTATAGCTTAAAAAGCATTCATAACTGATTTATTATCTTTGTTTCATTTTCTATATTCAGGTTCCATATTTGGTTATATATGACCAAACTTCTCTGAAAGTTCAGTTCATTTTTATTAAAAAAAAATCTGTTGAAAGATTCTCCTTTAACAATTCTCTCCTGTCCCTGTTAGTCACTGAATTAAATTGTATGTAATCCTGATCATACAAACACCAAAGCAAAGCCAAGTCAATGGAACTTTATTTGCTTTCTTAAACTCCCTTACTGCCCCTGTAGTGGCATTCTCTCCCCCCACAGGCTTGAGTACAATTTTTGTTTTATTTCCCCTTAAACAGCCAGGGCAGTTTCCTCATTATCTGGAACTCAGTTGAAGGTTTCAGGTTTCCCTAGAGATGTTCAGACCAACATAGTTGCACTAAAGTACTAATACTAATGTTTTTGGAACTTGCGATTAGCTTTCTATGTTGTTACTCAACTGATTTGTGAATTATACAGTATAATGAGGATAAACATTTTCTTAATAAACTTAGAAATCTCTAGGTAGACTGAAAGTACTCTATGTACTACAGTGAGAAGAAAAACATGTCCTTATTTTTAAGTACTTATTCAAACTCTGCTAATACAGTACATTCAGTCTTGGTGTAGAAAGTACACGTCGTGAGACTCTGTCTCAAAAAAAAAAAAAAAAAGTACACATCTAGGAATCCACTGCTGCATTAAGACCTTCTCATTTTCCTTTTTCATCTTTTACCAACAAGTGGTTTAAAGCATTAGTCCAGGACACAGAATTTTATGTGGTTACTGGCAAAGGTACTTAAGTAAAACTTCTGTGAAAGAAAAGGAAGGAACATGTTCATTTTCCCAGTTAATGACTAATGTAAAAGAGAAAATGGTTTCAAATGTGTAAATCACTTATACAACAGTGTTTTGAGCAATGGGAATGACCAACAAAACATTGAAGTATCATGAAAGAACATACAACGGTGCTTATTTTTAAGGTTACTGCTGTTTGTTTAATCACCTTTCAGGTCTCTATCAGGAGTGATTCACAGTCATCTCTCCTACTGAATCAGTGCTAACCATTCTCTTCAATTAAATCTGAGAAAAGGCAGCAAAATTCAAGTTCATAAACCCATTTGGAAAATGTTGTGATTTACAAAGTCTCATACACATAAATGTTAAGAAAAAAAAAAAAAAGGATTGTCAATGACAGATTCCAAATGGAATTTTCCCACTATTTCTAGAAGCAGATGCTTTAAGAAATTCATTTTTACTTAGTGAAAATTTTATACAAGAAGAAAATATTCAATCAGTGACTCTAAAATCTGTAAACTTCAGTAGCAGAATTCACAGGACTGTTACAAATTCAAATTGTCCTATCATGGCATAATTACCTCCATGGTTGGCAAATACCAGTAAATATGACCTATTTCCTCAAATATTAATTTTATAGATCTCTGATTAAAGAAGAATGCTACTAAGGCAACATCAGAACTTCAGAACTATACATATTCAACACATTTTTGTGGAGTAAATGGCACAGGAATACTACATAAATCAAATAATAATTGCTTATAAATAACAAAACATTTGCAGATGACCCAAATTCAAGTTTTTGGTAAACCCAACTCCCCATTGCCACCCTGGCCCCGATAGGGTTTCTAAACAGTTACTAGATATATTTTTCTTATCACAGGTATGGCAAGTGTAGAATTAAGCGAGCTGTTATGCTAATTAAAAAATTAGAACATTCAACTTAACAGGAAAATCTTAAAAGATACATTTTGGAATTATAAACTTAATACCTTAAGGGGATGACAGATTGTGACATCACATACCCACACACACACGAGAAAAAACTAGCACCAGTCAGGCTGTGGCTGCACACAGCTATCTTTGTTTATCATTGACTGATATCTGGACTGGGTACTGTTCCCACAGTCTCATATCAGGACAACCATTTAGAAATGAAACAAACCACAGGAAAGAAGCAAGGCAACTCTACAGCTGTCTGGTATGCATCATCACTGCAAACTCAGAACTAAAGAGTTCTCTAATAAAGTTTCTAAATACCAATCCACTATGTTGTTGTCTGGAGATTTAGAGCTGTCCTTATTAGAACTTGATGAACTTCTCCTGTGGTTAATGGCAAGATAATTTTTAGCATCTTCATCAAAGCCATATTCCAAAATATAAGAAATGTCACAGGTAGTCACACTACTTTAAGAAAATTTATAACACATTCTCTTTCCTATTATTATATTATGCTCACCCCTGTGCTGTTTCTATTCTATTCCATCAGCATCCTCTAAGGTCAGGTGATGTCTTAGTGCATTTTCTGTCGGTTAGAACAGAATACCTGAAACTAGGTAATTTATAAAGAAAAAGGAATTTATACAGTTATGGAGGCTGGGAAGGCCATGGTCAAGGAGATGCAGCTGGTGAGAACCTTCTTGCTAGTGGTGACTCTCTGTGGCATCCCAAGATGATGCAGGGTATCACACAGTGCATGCTAACATGCTAGCTCAAGTCTCTCTTCCTCTTCTTATAAAGCTACTAGTTCCCCTCCTATGCTAACCTATTAATCCATTAACTCACTAATCTATTGATCCATGAATTCATTAATCCATTTATAAGGGATCCAATCACCTATTCAAGGTCCCACTTCTCAATACTGCCACACTGGGGATTAAGTTTCAACATGAGTTTTGGATGGCACATTCAACCGTAGCAGTTGGTAATAAACTCTTCGTCATTAAGGTGGATGGAACAAAGGCCACATGTTACTGCTGCTCTCTTCTGACCATGTCTGGTAAGACTGGAGTCACACCCTGATGAGAGCAGAGCCAATTAGATTCTCTTTCTCAGGAATTGAGAATGAGGACTTTAAGACTTTAAGACAGCTAAAGGCACTGCACTCACAAGGTTGGAGGGAAGAAGAGGAAGGGCTGGGGTTGCTATTTTAGGTCCAAGTAAGCAAACAGATAAACCTGGATGGTAGAAAGCAGCAGCAGAATAAAGCAGAAGCAAAAGGAAGCAGAGACCAGAAACGAAATGACCCCCAAAACAGGACCCAATGGCTTTTCAATTTTAGGTTCCAGATCTCTGGGAAATCCAGGTGTACTTGCTCCCCTTAAGTTCAATAAGGAATCTTTGCATACTTCCTATAAAATCATCCCTGCTTTTGTTTTTGTGTTATTAGCTTGAGTGGGTTTCTCAACTCAGATATAAAGATTCTTAATTATGTACAAATTATTGGTTTAAGGTTGATTTTCTTCAACCACTTGTTAACAATCATTTACAACTTGTTCCCTTGATTTGAGACATCATTCTTCTATTTGCATATTAGAGGTTTCTTGGGCAGCAAAGATTTTCAGCACAGTAAAATCTTGAGAAGAGAGGGGTAATGCTATTATAAATTTTACAATGAAATAATTTATTTATTTATTATTTTTTTGAGATGCAGAGTCTTACTGTGTCACCCAGGCTACAGTGCAGGGGCATGATCTCAGCTCACTGCAACCTCTGCCTCCCGGATTCAAGTGATTCTCCTGCCTCGGCCTCCCAAATAGCTGGGACTACAGGTGTGCACCACCACACCCGGCTAATTTTTGCATTTTTAGTAGAGATGGGGTTTCACCATGTTGGCCAGGCTGGTCTTGAACTCCCGACCAAGTGATCCATCTGCCTCGGCCTCCCAAAGTGCTGGGATTACAGGCAGGAGTTACTGTGCCTGGCTGAAAGGAAAATTTTTTATTGATGAATAAGGTAACTACTTACATAATCTGGTAGAGGAACATCATTAGAACTCAGCGAACCTCTCAAGGACTGTGTGGCTTGTTCCAGAACTTTGTTGTGTTTTTTAGACAGCAAAGAAAATAAACTGGAAAAACAAACAAAAAACCAATTATATTAAAGGAACTGTTTTCTTTTCTGTCTTCTGTGGAAATATATAGTTCCACAGCATGTCAATTATTCTAAAATATACTTGTAAATGATTCTTTCTTCATGCCTGTGTTAACAGCAAGATTAATAATAGTATTTATGTAAGAAAAAAGGAGTGGGGAGGATGTTTAAATCATAAGAATTCTAAAAAATTTTTTAATGACAGTTTAAAATTATGTTTCAAACACAGGAGCATTTTTCATAAGATTACTATAGGGAAAAGAATAGTGGCAAAAACCTGAGATGTAGACTATGACTAACTCATAGTGCAATCTACTACAAGTCACTTGAGCTTGTGTATTTTCTCATCTTCTGAAAAAGTGTGTTGGACAAGATTATTTCTCTACTGTCATACAGAGTCTATGGTTCTGTATTATAGCTTTATTTCTCAAAAATAATGATTCAAAATGTTTTATAAGATTTCTGCTTCTGGCCATGACAGATTAACTGATACTGGACTAACTCTCCTGCTATCACTAACTGAAAACTAAAAAAAAAAAATGACACAACTGTTTTCAGATGTAACACAACATGTGAAGTAAAGGATTATAATCCCTAACAAAAGGGAGATGAAGATGAGCCCCATAATGGTGAGCTTCTGTCTCGAGGAACATTGCAGACTATGGTCCAGGAAGGTGGGACCCAAAGAGTACACAGCAGTGTTGTGCTGAGCTAAGGCAGAGAGAGGAATTTAACACTGCTGTGGCAACTGCATTTTGCAAGGTGGAATACTAGAGAGGAGAGAATTTCCAGAAAGCAGGTCCAGAAATCCAAGTGTCTTCTTGAATGTTTGTATAAATGTTAAGCTGTAATGTGCAGAGCAAGACTCCACAAGGTGTGGCAGTAAACAACTACCCAGGAGCTGTAAATTAAACAGAGATTTTGGGGACCATAACAGACTGAGGGATATTGGAGCTCCAACCAGCCAGAAGATAAAAATCAATGAACATGAACATTTAGTTGAATGCTTAGAAAGGCCATGCTTTAGGAGTCAGACTATTCTATTCTAGAGTGCAAATTACTTTATTCTAAGAGGCACCCTAATAGAGCAAAACAAACAATCTTCAAAGAATACAGTTGATTTACATTAAATATAAATGCACTAAACACTCCAGTTAAATGTCAGAGATTTTCAGACTGGATAAAAAAGCGAGACCCAACCATGTGCAGTTTAAAAGAGACACATTTGTAAATTTAAAGATACAGACAAGTTAACAAAAGGATACAAAAAAGACATACTATAAAAACATTAATCATAAGGAAGTTGGAATGGCCATGTTAATTTCCGACAAAGTAGGCTTAAGAACAATATTATTATTACTAGAGATAAAGAGGGAGATTTTATAATGATGAAAGCCAGTTTACCATGAAAACATAACAATCCTAAATACTTATGTGCCTAATAAAAGAACTTCAGAGGTATGTATTATAATTATATGATCCCAATATTAAATTTATTGTATCAAATAAAGAAAGGATTCTTCTTTGGGATAGATGGCAGCTTAAAAACAAAGGCAATTCTGATTCCATGTACTTCCCATAAAAATCTGAAGTATGGCCTTTAGTATTTTTTTATGCCAAAACTTCACTGTAGTATTTAGTAATCCCCTTACAAATAAAATATTTAAATATCAATTTAGGAAAATCTGTAATTATTTCAGATGGTTTAAAAAGGATATCCATTGAAGACAGGGCCACTAAGTAGTCTTTGTAGATTAAGTTTCAACTCATATCATCAAGGAAAAAAATTCCTTAACATTTATTGGTAATGTTAGATGTTGTACAAAACAAACATAACAGAGGCAATGAATATTATTTACATTTATACTTAAATAAAGTGGGAAGAAAAATAATTACATGAAGTAATTACTGAATGAATAAGTATGAAATTTTATGATACTGGTTACATGCTGAGGATATATCTGAACGAACGATTTCTTTGAAATGAAACACTTCTGAAATGAAATACTCCAGTGAAGTTTCATGAAGGTCACCTTAGGCCCTACCCAATGTCTTGAAAAAGAAGAAAGAGTTATCTGTGCAAGAGAGAATAAAAGCCACTTCCAAATAGAAGGCAAAGCACAGAGGCAAAAGTAGGAGAGAGCAAGAAAATTGGAATGGAGGTACTATACAAGAAGTAGAAAACAGAATTCAGTACATAAGAGCACACACTTTTTTCCAATCATTTTATTTTTCTGGGTCTTCTCCATTTGAGGTTTAGTTTTGCTTTATCTTTCCTTTTTAAGGTTAACCGTAAACACCATACTTTCCACTCATCGTTATTCTCATGACCCACTGATAACTAATATTAAGTTTATTGTGTATGATTCCAGAAACCTTATATGCATTAATGCATGTAAACAAATGCATACTGTATACATATATATCCATCTTTGTTATTCCATGAAATATATACTATGCTGTACCTTTCACTTTGTCTATCTAACAATATATTCCTTCATTCATTCAACAAACACATGAGTGTTTACTGTTACTTGATATCAAAGGATATGGATATACCGTAATTTATTTAGTCCATTATTAATCACTCACTGCAATTGTTTCCAAATTTTTATATTATAAACAGCATTGAAATGAACACCCTTGTAAATAAGTTTTAGCATGCCTGAGTGAGACTATCTTTTGGATAAATTGCCTGAAGCAAAACTGCTGAGTAAGAGTAACTGAACATAATACTGAACTGCATTAGGGGGTCCATATTTTCGAGTATGTAAATTATTTTGCAGGAGATGCAAAAAAAAAAAGGTAAAAAAATTGGGATTGTTTATAAGACATGTTTACATGGAAATGCATACAGAAGGAAATCAGTAATACGCTTCTAATTAGTTGCAGTATATTTTCTGGAATAAATGGAATTTCAGAAATTTTTTGAGGCTAAAAGAACTTTGGGTAGTCAATTCTTGCACAAGGTGTGGCAAGACTCAAAAACATAAATTGGCTACCCAAACAAAAAAAGAAAAGCAATAAATATGCCTGAAAGAAGTGAGCTTCTTGGTGTTAGGAAGAAGAAATGGAACAAGTGAAGCACAGCAGCATACTTTGCTTAGTTGAAGAAAAAATAAGAACTCAGGAGGTGCTTCCTGAGTTTAGCAAACCTGGGATGTTCATTCTCACATTCCGTGTGTGTGTGTGTGTGTGTGTGTGTGTGTGTGTGTGTGTGTGTGCGCGCCTGTGTCCCCTATTAGTGCACTATCAGAGAACAATAGAGGTGATCTATAGTAACTCTCATTATCAATTTAAGAAAATTATTAAACAGTCCTAGGGACCAGAGCAAAAAACACTTGAAACTGTTTCTTTTAGAGAAGAAAGGCTAGTTTGTTTGTTTACTGATTTTAAAAGAGAGTATGAACACTCTGTTTTGCTTGCTAGTAGGACACCAAACAAGGAAGTGAGCTTCAATTCAAACATGAGATATTTTGGTTGAGCATAATGGAAAATTTTACTACTAAGGACACAAATGTTGAAATGGTATACCCCAAGAAGCTGTGGATACTGCTTCTAGCTATCTTTAAGAAATTCTCTGTAAGAATAGATCATTTGAGGTCACATTCAGCTCTCCATCGAAGAGAAACAGAGAATTCACACTTCCTTTGTTACTATCATACAATTTAACAGGCATTTTACTAAAATCTTATAGCAAGTACTTTCAAAGTTTTATTTAAACATTATAATTTTGGCTTTTATTTAACATTTTTAAGGCAAAATGTATACGAGACATGACTTGCAAACTGCTTAGTGAAAAGAGTAACTTTTGCTTAAAGCTTTGCATTCAACGTACTTACCCCCAGCTTAATGCTAATCAGAATAAGGAATAAAGATATATGATGTTTGTATGTAAATGGATAAATTTGATTTTAAAAATCAGTCTTAAAAATAAAAATGATCTTTAAGTTAGCTTAATATTCACTTAGCTGGGATCTATTTGCTAGAATACTTTTTTAAAATTTGAAAAAGACTAGTTTTTCTTTTTGCATAAGAATGTTCATTACAAATTTAAAAAATGAAAACAGCCAAAACACTAATCAAGAACAGAATGGGTAAATAAACTGTGGGATAGTTATACAAGGAAATATTATACAGCAATTTAAAATTATCTAATGCTACATGTATGAATATGAATAAATCTCAAAAACAATGTTGAGTAAAAAAATAAGCAGGAATCCTTAGAAAATATGAACAAGCTGATTTTATGTTTTTAAAATGAAAAACAATATTACACATCATTTACAGATAAAATATATTAATAACATCAAATATATATGGAAATGATAAATCCTACACTTAGGATAGCCACTGTTCTCTGAGGAAGGAGGAAAAAGGGAGTCCAGCTCTCACATGAGTACTCCCTCTCTCTCTATATATATATATATGGACACATATACAGTATATATAAAATGTTCTTAGGTAACACTGGATACATACATGAGAGAGTGGTATATTGCTCTATTTTTTGTGTATGCAGGAAGTATTATATAACGTTTTAAAAATCTGATAAAAAGAACATGCTATCTTGAAGAAAACAGAGCCCCTGCCAATGACAGCATTTCACAAAAGAAAGCAGCATGTAAACAGAATAAGTGTGGTCAGTCCAAACGGGAACACGCTGAGAAAATCACAAGCTGGTGGAAATGGCTGTAGTGTAGGGTACACAGATGGTGGCAGGAGATGACACCAGAATGAAGACAGTTTGAAGCCAGACTGTGAAGGGCCGCTTTATGGCACATCAAAAGCCCTGGACTTTTATTCTATTCGGAGTGAGAAGCTAATTCTTACAAAATAATGAAAGAGACATGGCTCCCCGCCCCCAAGGAACTCAAGTCTACTGGGATGAGAAAAAAAAAATTTTTACAATACTGAAATCAGAGAATTCCATGGGTCTGAAGAGAGCACTGTGGGAGAACAGGGGGAAGATTAGGTGCATTCCACAGAGGAAATCTATCTTGACTGTGGCCTTGAAGGTTAGAGGACTTGCTATTTGGAAAAGCAAACGGGGAGGAAGAGTAATTCAGAAGGGGGAAAGTGTTTAGAAAGGCACTGGGAGATTTCAAGGAAATACCCATAACTTATAAGGCAAGAATAGAGAAAACTCACAGGGGTGAGAAGTGGCAAGAAATGAAGCCGGTAAGACAAGAGGGGCCAAATAAGAAGGCCACATGGACCATGCTAAGAGGTCTGCATTTCATCTTGCTCAGCCATTGAGACAGACAGTGAGTCAAATATTTACCCAGCGCCTAGTATGTGCCAGGCAATGTGAAAGCAAAAGCAACACAGTTTCTGTCCTGCCTCCCCAGAGGGCGCAGTCAGGTGAAAAAGGACGTGCCTAAATAGACTGGAGGTGAACATGGAATGTTAGGGGAACACAGGTGAGGACTGCTCAACTGCACCTGAAGGGAGAAAGAGGCAATCACTTTGGGAGATGATGCCTGCACTGCTTCTTAAGAAACAATTAGGAGTCAGCTGAGCAAATCAGGCAATCACAAAGGTGAGTTGGGCAGAGAAATACGAGTCCTGTGGGTGGGGGAAACAGCACTGCACGTGCATCAAGTGTTGAGTACACAGCAGAGCACAGCAATGAGGCTGGGTAGCAGTGAGGATGGCTTATCAACTGCCTCATGTCTCTCTCAGACCTTGGACTTCATCCTGAAAGCCAGACGTGTTCTATGAAAGCAGGACTACAATATGAGAAAGTGATCAACGCAAAACTGCTGTGTTTGGTATTGAGGTGTGAGGTGGGAGGCAGGGCTCAGCAGTAAGGATGGCAGATTACTCCTTGTGCCTCTATGTCCTAAGCCTCCTCCCTATGCCCTGCCATCTATGGTGGCCACAGAGTCTCTACCATGGAACTTCAGGGCTCCTAGAACCGAAGGTTGAAAACCACTGACCTGAGCAATGTGGGCCAAGTGTATAAAATTCTACTTGTTTTAGAAAGACTCCTCTGCTCCTGGAGAAAAGGATGGACAGGAGATGACAAGTGAACAAGACTAGAAACAGAACCTTTAGGAAACGTCCATATTATCCAAATAAAGAGATGAGGATGCCTTAAAGCAAATGGGAGCTATGTGGAAGGCAGAGACAGCATGGAGCGGGAAAGAAGGGAATCAGGGCTGACTGAGGTCTCTAACTTGGGAAACACAGTGGCTAGCTGATAAGGTGACTGACATGCTAGGAATACAACAAGTTGAAAGGGAGGGAGAGCGCTCAGGAAGAAAAAGAAATTAATAACAGTAGCAGCAGTTATGAGTTATATATCAGGTGCTGTCCATCTAACAACCATGTGAGGTAGGTCCTACCATTATCCATTCTCCCTCCCCCTTTTATAAATAGATGATGGAATTGAACCAGAGAGAGTAATTTGCCCAGGCACACAGCTAAGTGGTGGAGTCAGGAGTCAATGCTAGCATTGCTGGCTCTAGAATCTGTGCTCTTAACAAATCTTCTAGGAAACCTACAGGTGCTCAGGAACAACAGGTGGAGATGGTCAGAAAGAAGCAGATGGGCAGTTTAGAAATACTAATTTGGTGCTCAGAAGAGAGGGGAGGAGAAATTTTAGGCTATTTGCATCAGCTGCAATCACAAAAGTGGAGGTGATCACCCAAGGATATTGTGTAATGTAAGAAAGAACTGTATGAGGTCGGGTGTGCTGGCTCACACCTGTAATCCCAGCGCTTTGGGAGGCTGAGGCGGGTGGATCATGAGGTCAGGAATTTCAGACCAGCCTGACCAACATGGTGAAACCCCATCTCTAATAAAAATACAAAAACTAGCTGGGCGTGGTGGCACGTGCCTGTAATCCCAGCTACTCAGGAGGCTGAGGCAGGAGAATTCTTGAACCTGGGAGGCAGAGGTTGCAGTGAGCTGAGATTCTCAAGTGCTGCACTCCAGCCTGGGCAACAAAGTGAGACTCCGTCTCAAAAAAAAAAAAAAAAAAAAAAAAAAAAGCAACTGTGGGAAACACCAAGACCGAAAGGGTGAACAGAGGCCAGAAAGGGTCACTTAAATAAGAAGTAGGAGAAGAACTAGGAAAGAAAGACATTCTGGAAGCCAAGAGAACAATTTTAAGGAGGAAATAATCATCACTGTTAAAAGCTGTCAAATAGTAAAGTAGGATTTACCAAAAACAAACGTACAAACAAAAACAAAACCCAACAACAACAAAAAAACAAAAAACGAAGTCACTGGATTTGGCACAAGGAAACAAATCAGTGGTGACTTTATCCACTGTCAGAGGGGAGGAGGAGGCGGAAGCTGGACTGCAGCGCTTGAGAAATAAGCAGGATGTGAGGAAGTACAGAAAATAGGTGTAGATTTTTAAGAAGTTGAACATTGCTGGGGAGCAGAGTGCTAGAGTAATGCTCCGAAGGTAAAGGGAACGCATCACAGAAAGGTCACTTACTGGGAGGGGGTGTGGAGGTTCTGTCTTTGAAAGTTTCAGACATTTCCTATGAGAGCCCTGCCAATCCTCACAACTCTCAGCCAACTTCTCTCTCCATGCCTCAGTCCTTCCTCTAACACACTAGTAACAGCAGTCATAGGGGAAAAGAGAAGTAACTGAACTCCACAAAAGACCTGGGAGCAGATGATTTACAGATAAAGAAACCTAGGTGTAGAGAGTTAGGTGCTTGACCCGTGATCAAATTTACATTATGTAGTGAATACAAAAGTTCTTTATAAATCCTAAAGAGCTACTAAAATGTAAAACAATAAAAAATTAAAAAAACCAAAAAACTATTAAAATTATTAGAGGTGGAGTGGGAGCTACAAACCAAATCTCACACCAAGTGTCATGCTCTCATCTGTAGACACTGATTCCCTCTACGTGTAGACACCCCTCCTTCCTCCTCTCCTACAAGTCCTTACAGCCCCCATACCACCGATTCCACACCCTCTGGGAAAGATTTCTCAAACCTGTGCTCTCCCTGCTTCTGAACCACTGGTGGTCCTTAATGACAGCCCTATGCTACTGGTTACCTTAGTTTTAATCAGCTTTATTGAGAAATAATCTTTATATAATAAAACTCACAAATTTTAAGTAGACAGTGCAATGAAAAATGTTTTTGAAAAATGTAAACATTCATGTAATCCATCACTACAATAATGATACAGACCATTTCCATTACCCCAAAAAGTTTCCTTGGGCTCTTTTACACTCAATCTCCTGCTCCAATACCCTTCCCCTCACCCTTCCAGGCAACCACTGATCTGCTTCCTGTCACTGTAGTTGCCTTTTCTAAAATTTTCTGCAAATAGAATTATACCTTAGGTACTCTTTTGTGTCTGCCATCTATCACTCAGCATAATGCTTTTCAAATGCATCCATGCTGTTTTGTATATCAGTAATTCATTCCTTTTTATTGCTGAGTAGTTTTCCATTGCACAGACGTGCCTCGATTTCTTTATTTATCAGTGTTGGTCTATTAAGAAGGCTGCTGTAAACAGTTGTACAGGTTTTTGTGTGAACATATGTTTTCATTTCTCTTGAATACATACCTATGAGTAAGATTGCTGGATTGTATGTTATTTGTTTCACTCTATAAGAAACTGCTAAACCGTTGCACATTCTTGCTAACACTTGGCATTTCAGTCTTTTTCACTTTAGCCATTTTAGTGGGTGTGAAGTAATTTTCTTTGTGGTTTTAATTTGCATTTTCCAAATGAGTTTTCTAGTGCTCATATGTTGTCTTTGGTGAAGTGTCTATTCAAATCTTTGCCCATTTAAAACAATGGGTTGTTTTTCTTCTCCCTGAGTTGTAAGAGTTCTTTATATATTCTGGATACAAGTTCTTTATCAGGTATAAGTTTTGTAAACATTTTCTCCCAGTCTATGGCCTGTGGGTGGTGGTAGTGGGGCAGTTTGTCTTTTTCATTTTCTTCAAAAAACAGTGTCTTTTGAAGAGCAAAAATTTTAAATTTGATGAAATTCATCAGTTCATCACATTTTTAAAAAATTGTTTGTTTTTTATGTCCTATCTAAGAAATCTTTGCCTAATCCAAGATCCCAAAGATTTTCTATGATTTCTTCTATAGTTTTACAGTTAAGTTTTAAGTTTTATAGTTTTAGTTCTTATATTTATGTCTATGATCCATTTTGCATTAATATGTGTATATGGCATGAAGAGTCACAATTTATTTAATTGGTTTGGGTGTTTTTTTTTTAATTTGTGCATATAGCTATTTAATTGTTCCAGTACCATTTGTTGAAAAGATTATCCTTTCCCCCTTAAATTACCTTGGCACCCTTGTTGAAATTTCATTGAGCATATATGCACTGGTCTATTTCTTGATTCTATTCAATTCCATTGGTCCATAAATCTGTCATACACTATTATCCCACTGTCTTGATTACACCAGCTTTATAGTAAATCTTGAAATCAGGTAGTGTGAGTCTTCCAACTTAGGCTTTGTCAAAATTGCTTTTGGCTATTCTAGGTCCTTTGTATAATATTGAATCAACTTGTCATTTTCTACCAAATCACCTGGTAAGGTTTTGATTAGGATTGTGTTCAACGTATAGATCAATTTCAGGATCTTAACAATACTAAGTCTCTAATCCATGAGGATAAAATCACCCTGTTTACTTAGGTCTTCCTTAATTTCTTTCAGCAATGTTTTATAGTTTTCAGTGTACCAGGTCTTGAATGTATTTTAAGTCTATTCTTAAGTTATTTCATATTTTTGATGCTGCCGTAAATGGCATTATTTTTCAATTACTGATTGTTCATAGCAAGAATGTAGAAATAAATTTGCTATATGCTGACAATAACAAATTTAACAGTAAATTCAACAATAAAATTATTATATACTGACCTTTTTGTGTCCTATGATCCTGCTAAACTCATTTAGCAATCCTAGTAGGTTTCTTGTAGATTCATTAGGACTTTTAAAACACATATTCATGTCTTGTGCAAATAGCTAAATAGTTAATAAAATTTAAAAGATAGTTCTAAATCTTCTTTTCTAATCTGGATATTAAAAATTTCTGTTTCTTGACTTATGGCACTGGCTAGGACCTATAGTACAATACTGAATAAAGGTCAGAGTACATATTCTTGCCATTTTCCTGATCTTAGGGGAAAAGTATCATTTTTCACTAAGTATGATTTTAGCTGTAAGGTTTTCATTGATGCTCTTTGTCAGGTTGAAGAAATTCCCTCTATTCCTTGTTATGTGAAAGCTGGTTTCATTTCTTTTCATAAATGGCCATTGAATTTTGTCAAATGCTTTTTCTGTACCTACTGAGATGATCATATAGTTTTCTTTTTAAGTCTAATAAAATAGTGGATGGTACTGATTGATTATGGCATGTTAAACCAGACTTACAATTCCTAGGATGGGTCCCAATGGTATCTTTTTCTATGATGATGATGTAGATAAGAATGATGGCAGCTAGCACTTACTGAGAATGTGCTCTATGCCACACATCTCTCTAACCTTTTACATTTGTTAACTAAATATACAGCTCCTTAATGAAGACAGTATTATTATTAACATCACATTATAAGTGATGACATACAGAAGTAAATTAACTTGCCAAGGACTATACTATTCATAAATGGAAGAGCTAGAATTCACAGCCTGGTAATCCGAGTCTAGACCATGGACTCATTACACTACTTCATTATCTCTTATATGGAGATTTATTAATTATGATGGCTATTTTTCTTGTCCAATATGATTCACTCTCACCCCCTACTTTCAGAAACAGAAACTACTTTCCTGAAAAAAGTGAGATTATGACACAGGCTCATTCC
Organism: Homo sapiens; assembly: GCF_000001405.40. Classification (NCBI taxonomy): domain Eukaryota; kingdom Metazoa; phylum Chordata; class Mammalia; order Primates; family Hominidae; genus Homo; species Homo sapiens. The sequence goes on from NC_000018.10 coordinate 49,174,619, forward strand.
CTGAGTCACAAAGATTGGTCAATGAATATAAGCTCTAGTTGAGCCAGCTGGAAATATTCCCTAGGATTTTACTAACTAGAAAGGGTGAGAAAGCTGCTTTTTCTCTCTGGTTAGAAGATTGTAAAGACGTAATCCCGGAGTTGGCTATGGTCACGCTTAGCTTCACAGAGAAAACCCATGTGCAAGAAGAGAGAATGAAGTGAACTTAAGCTGAGACAGAGAGAGAGCGAGAACTGAGGGAAAAGGCTGAAGAAGAAAGGGACAGATAACGATGGTTCTAACAAATACGGAAAACATGTGAGGATTAATACACCATAACAGAAAAAAACATCAAAGCCGACGAAGACAGAACAAATTCATGTTATGAAACTTGTCTCTTTTTACTTGCAGATTATAATAGAAATAGTAACTTCCCAAGCTTTTTTTCTCTATCAAATTATGTCATCTTAATTATTTGTTTGCTTCAATATGCGGCTTCATAGTTGCTCTTAAACTGCTACACACAAGTGTAATGCATATTTGTACTGTAAACATGTATTTTTCCAAATGCCAAGTTCATTTAAGGCCTTGATTGTAGATCCTTGGACAGTGTTCTGCGCACAACATGGTCTAAAATATGCTTACTACTAATTGATGATTTATCTTCTTTTCTATCGTTCTTACTCCAATAAAAGAAACTGCAATGACGTCGGTATTCTTGCCTTACAAAATCAGAAACAAGCAGTCTTAGTTGATTTTAGTTTAAAAATCTTATCTTTAAGGACCAAAAGTTAAAATGAAGGAAAGACTAATTACGTAACAATCTTTACTAAGAACACTGACATTTATACAAAGAAGCAAGGTTAGGGCAGGGTAAACTGCCCGTTCATTCACATTTAATTGCCTTACTAACCATAAACATTATTTTAGGTTTATAATAACTAGCTTAAAATTCATTTCCATCCAGGACAAGAGCTAAAATGATGTTGATTTTATGGAATAAAAGGTGGAGAACAAAATAACAAAACTCAGCACCACCAGCTTGCTGACTGTCAAGTAATGCTTGTTAAAATGCAAATGTCTTGTGACTAGCAGTACACAGCATAATGCATGGACAACAGATGTGTCCATCAGTACACTAAGCACCACACATGTTCTAGTAGAACCTACTGCTCCATATTTCAACACTATAAAGAAAACACAATAACTCATCTTCTTCAAAAACTCTATATATAGTAAAAGCAAAAGACAAAGAAATATATGTGTGATATTTAGTGAAAGAGGTTCCCACCAAAAGGGCACACCCTGCATTGTAACTGGAGAAGCCAATCCTAGAATCCTAAAAACACATAATGTATCTTAGCAAGAACTCAAAATTATAGTACAACATTCAGTATGACCTTCATGGTATGACTGCATAATCAAAAATTATATGTAAACCCAATAATAACTAGTCATACAACATGGCAAAGTATTGGACTAAACAATGTTTCTTTAAAAAAATGCTGAAACTCAGGAATTGAATTTCCCCTAGCTAAGGTAACTAAAGTCAAAATGTGGAAGACATAGAAAGAAAACTGAAAGATGGCTAACAACTTAAAAAATGATGTTACAAAAATTATTACTGATAAAATATGTTGAAAATAATAGGTAAAATACACAATCTGTCAATATACACTCTGGTAACTATACTACCAAATTTATAAGAGACTGAAATAAGAGAATCTAACATTAGCTTAAAGACAATTATTTTCATTTTCCACAAAAACATTCATGCAAATTTCATTTGTGTTTTTAACATAAGCACATTTTTTTTCAATTTTTTTTTTAAGAAACAGGGTCTCATTCTGTTGACCAGGCTAGAGTACAGTGGTGCAATCATAGCTCATGACAGCCTCAAGCTTCTGGACCCAAGTGATTCTCCAGCTTCAGCCTCCTGAATAGCTGGGACAACAGGCACGTGTCACCAAGCCTGGCTTTTTTTTTTTTTTTTTTTTTGCAGAGATGAGGTCTTGCCTTGTTGCCCGCACTGGTCTTGAACTTCTGGCCTCAAATGATCCTCCCACTTCAGCCTCCCAAAGTGCTGGGATTATAGGTGTGAGCCACTGTGCTTGGCTTCTTTCCAATTTTGACTAGATTTGGTCAGAAATGTTATTTAGCAAAAATTACAAAATTAAAAATTGGTAATTTATCTAAAAAGCACTTTACTCCTTTTATACATATTTCATGGACAATGGATTTTAAAAATGTATATATCCTTTATAAACTAAACTACGATGAAAGTCTAATTTTTTATAATTAGTATGCAATTCTAAAGATATCGATCTTATTAGAAGTTTTATGGTATTTTCTCTATTAGAAAATTATGTTCTGTAAAGAAAGAGATTTTCTGACTTGAAAGAAGTTTGGTTGTCTTTTTCGGTGACCCTTTCTTAGTCTCTTGAGAAAATTGCACACCAAGGAAATAGCAAATCTGTCCAGTTTTTTAAAAATCCTATGGCACAGTGTCACTAATTTATGGGAATAATTGGGATCGAAATAACATTGAAAGAGAAAATTCATTTGGAAAGTGGAATGACCTCACAGTGAGTGCAAGAGGAGCCAGGATGGCAGGGTAGAAGTTATTATTATCACAGGTCATAAGGCACTTCCTAAGTGTAAAGAAATTTCCTCTCAGGGGAAACCTACCAAATAAAGCATGTTTACTATATGTCAGATTTTACAAAGATAGTCACAGGAAACATGATACTGCTAACTTTGGGGAAATGCTGCAGAGTACCTATAACTACGTTATAACACAATTGATAGCCAAAATATTTCCCAGGTGTTGGACCCTTAATTTGAGAATCTCAACTGGAACTTTGAAATTTCTTTTTTGCTTAGCCCTTAATCTTAATTTAGTGAATATAATTAGTCTTTGGGATGGCCATAGGAACAGGAAGCCTTAACTGGAATTATAGGTCTTTACTGGTAAATGCCTTTTTTCAACACCTATTAGCTTCATCACTATAAAAAAATCTTATGTCTGTAAAAACTTTATCCATTTATTTCAACTTCCTTTTGATCTTTGTGTACCTAATTATTAATTTATACTTGTCCTACACATTTTTCCCATGTCTTCCTTTATCTTTTGTTTGTAGGTTTGTCTCATTTCTTATGTGAATACAAGTTCAAGGGCACAGATGTCCATTCCTCTTTTCTTCTTTTAACACTTCCACAATGCCTCCTGTATATACCAATGGTTTCAGTGGGTTAATGATCCCTCATTTTCCTTTTAAATAAACTATCTACTGACTGGTGGATAAGATATTCTTTGAGTTAAAGTTCTAAAACTACTTTTTAGAAAAACCACAAAACCAATCATATATTTACAGTAACTTCATAAGAAACCCATCTCTACTGTGACTCATCCTGAATAAAGAAGTAGCTCCCTTTCCAACCTCTTAATACATAAACCGAAACCACAAAGAGAGAACAATTTCCATGAATGAAGTTGTTATCAATGCCTATAGGAAAGCCATGGATTTAACTCCTTAGGCCTTAAATTAGAATCTTAATTTAACACAGTTCTCAGAAAGCTCAGTTACTGGCTTCCTCAGTGAAAGCTTCTAAATAATAAAAGCAACAAAGAAGAAAGGAAAACCAGAATGGGAATATGTGGAAATGGGAAAAATCTAAGAGTAGTGTGACCAAAAAGAGAAAAATGGGCCTCAACATCAAAGAAGGAGCAAACTCAGAATTCCACTATGGTTTAGTACATCAGTACATGCTCAAATCAACAACCCTGCAGCAATGAGAAAAAGATTCAAATGTGTGTAAGGTCTTTACTTCAAACTCCTAAAAGTCTGCAATAGCAAGATCTCTATCCCAAATACTTTCTAACATTTTTAAGGTGGCGCTTTAGTGAAACATACTTTTGTTATTTGGAAAATATGTGGAACTGCACAATTCCCAAGAATGCTAGATAAATGATGTATCACTTAAAGATTCTTATGGTTTCAAATAGCCCAGTTATTTCAATATCAACAGAATATTTCCAAAATGATAAAATTATAATTCTTTCTAATAAAAATACACTAACAATAGAGAAAATAAACGATAGTAATCCTCAGAAATAACCATGGATTAAATGTACTTTTGGAATATAGTCCTTTATTATAACTACCGATAATTACAGAGGTAGAATTCTATCAGTAGTTTTAAGAATGCCACCATCTCCAGATAATATTATAGATCAAATCAAGTTGGGTATAACCTGATAGGAAATAATCTATTTTAAGAACTGTAATTAATGTTTAACCATGTAACCCCCCCACCACGCCCCCATTTTCCTAAAACCCAGACATAAATTCATGCTTCGTGCTCCCTCTGCTGGCTCAAAAGCTACAGTTAATTCCCATTACAGCACACTGAAGGGCATTGATACATTATATTTGGGATCTTCACAATGTAATCCAGCTCCCTTCTTTGAGTGTTGATGAAAAACAAGAGAGGTGACAACTAGACCACAGTCACAAAGCTTTCTGAGAGCCAGAACAACTCTGGTCTTTTGACTCCCAATCCAGTGCTCTTTCCATTCCATAATGATCTCACTGCCTTCATGTATGAGACTATTACTGAACTTTATTTTGCTATGAGTTATTTAAAATCTGAAGCTCAGTAGCTTTGGGTTACACAGACTTTTCACTGTACTGTAATTACAACTGATAAGGAGATTTGACCAATATTCAGTAAAGATCTATTAGGCTTAAAGAGTGTCTCCATTTCTAATTTGTTTGAACAGTGTCCAATTTAAGACACCTACTGTAAAGTTTCTTGATATACTGAGTACTTAAAATGTCACCTAATGTGATTCTACCATTTGCTTACAAACCATGTCACAACTTTTGACTTGGAATATATAGTTACCACACAATATATCTTCAGGTCTGTCAAAACCATAAAGTTATTTTGTTGTGATGATGATGATGATGATGACAACAACGATGAATAGGCTTATAGTTACCATCTATAGAGTATCTATTACACAACAAATACAGGATTGGGTCTTTAGAGAAATCATTGTCAACATAAGGTAGATATTACTATCCCTATTTTACAGAGAAGGGAGCTGAGGGAAAGTAAATTGCCCAAGGTCTGTTTAACACGAAGTATCTACTGCTTCCTCTGTATGTAAATGCTTTGATATTTTGTTCATTCTTAATCAGCAGAGATAGCAACAGTAAAATAATCTCTTACTACCAGCACCATCATTTCCACTTAAGGCAAAAAAAGAAAGCAAAAGATACTTTATTCAAAGCATGAATCTGTTGAACTTCTTTAAAGTTTATACTAAAGTGGAGAGGGTTAATATTTTCCTTACTTTTGGTAGAGGAAATTACATGACCTAGACTATAAATGTTAGTATTTAATTCCAGTTTACTTTTGTATAATAGATGTATTTAATTATTTGTCAAGTGATCTGTTGTATGGAAAAACCTAACTCTAGTCTGATAACAATGCTAGTTAGATAGAAACAAACAGTCCCAGATTAAAGAATCTAATCTGTTCAGTCAAAAAGTAAATATTTATTAAGCTAGAATATACAAGTCTATCTTTGTAAGGAAGACTTTTTTCTTGATAAGAGATATAAATTATTATCTAAATCATGGACAGCTTTTATTCAAAATGAAGTTTAATTTCTGTGTTCCTTTTGAAACCAGAAAACTATAGATGTCAGTGCCCATCCTCGTTCTCTGGTAGTGATTAGTTGTTATTTTCATAAATGGGAATCATATTAAATAAAGAATTTAAATAGGAAAACAATGTTAAAGTGAACACCTTTCTCAATTATTTATCAGTAACCTATATGGACAGTACAGGCAACAAATGTCAATATTCTAGAAATGAGAAAGTAGCCTATGGTAAACTCCACATTAAGGAACTTAAAGAAAATTGATAAATGATTGTAAATTTTAACCTTGCACAATTTAACATGATAAACTTGATACCTGGGGCACTACAGCTAGCATCATATAATATTTATGGATACCAATGATTTTTCAACTGAAAGATAAAATAACCTCATTTTTGATGTTATGCAGAAAGGAATATAGGCTAATTCAGACACATTTGTATTTAAACACCCACTCCTCCATTTAATAGCTCATGGGATTTCTGACACTTAATTTTTCTGAGACTCAGTTTCCTTATACTTGGTGATAATGATGGTGGCAGTTAAGAGTTGCTGTGATGGTTAAATTGAGGGAATTAATGTAAAAACCCTTAAGAGAGAACCTATGGAAAAAGTCACCATTCAGTTCCAATTGATTTCTGGCATGGAGGACTGTGGGCTCTGCATTGCCAGCTATTCCAACTTGTTATATGTTAGCAACAAATTCTAACTTCAAAAAACCAAAACCAAACAAACAAAAAAAACTGTGCAAACCAAACACAGCACCTCTCTAGCCTGAGTCCAGGCTGCAGGCCGTTAGTATGCAGTTTCTGATTTGGAGAATCACTGGAAATACCACGTCATGAAATGCAGCAAACCATCTAGAGTCAAGGTCGTGTTGGAGTTAGATGGGTATTTTAAACAAAAGAGATGTGCTCTGGTAAGAAAAAGTCAAGGATAAAAGTTAAGATGATTTATGAGAGAAACCCAAAGCAAAATGAATGTTTCCGTGGAACAGCATGATTTTGAGATCACTCAGAACTATATTTATATGCCAATGAAAAAATCTTTAATTTTTACATAAATGCATTTTAATTTAATCCTTGATCCCCCAGTAAAGAGAACATGTTATTCTGTTTTACGAGACACAAACCAGCTGGTTTATAATAGAATTGTCCAGAGTCCCCACAATACAGGTTGAATTTCCTTCATCTGAAATGCTTGGAACCAGAAGTGTTTTTAATTTTGAATTCCTGCAAATTTTGGAATATTGGCATGATACTTACCAGGTGAACATACCAAATCCAAAAATTTGAAATCCAAAATGCTCCAGTGAATGTTTCCTTTGAGTATTATGTCGGTGCTCAAAACGTTCTGAATTTTGGAGCATTTTGGATTTTTAGATTAGGGATACCTAATCTGTGTAACCATCATATGTTCAAGATACAGCCCAAAATTACTCCACATACAATCTTGGCCAAAGGTTTATCATTTTTGTTGATCTTCTCAAGGAATGAGCTTTTGGTTTTAATTTTATCTACTGCATTTGTTTTCTATATCAGTGATTCCTGCTTTTTATTATTTTTATTTTATTTTGGGCTTAATTTGTTGTTCTTTTTCTAGTTTCTTAAGGTGAAAGCTGAAGTCACTGATTTGAGATCTTTCTTTCTTTCCAATATAGGCATTTCAGGCTATACCTTCCCCTTAAAATACTGCTTTAGTGGCAGCCATCCCACAACATTTGATATGTTCCATTTTCATTTTCACTTAGTTTAAAAATCGCTTTTGGTTTCTTCTTTGATTCATGGATTATTTAGAAGTATGTTATTTAATTTCCAAATATATGGGGATTTTCCAGAAAGTTATCCATTATTGATATCTATTATAATTCCATTGTTGTCAGAAAACAAACTTTCCATGACTTGAATCTTATAACCTGAATCTTACTGAGACTTGTTTGATGGCATAGAATATGGTCTTTGTTGGCAAATGTTCCTATGCAAATGTTTTGGCTGGAGCTGTTATTGGTTGGAGTGTTCTATAAATGTCAACGAGGTGAAGTTGTTTGATAGCATTAAGTCTTCCACACTCTTACTCATTTTCTGTCTACTTTTTCTATTAGTTAATAACAAAGATATATTGAAAGCTCCAACTATAACTGTAATTTGTTTCTCCTTGCAATTTTATTAGTTTTTGCTTCAAATGTGTATGTTATAAAGTACACATTTAGGATTATAATAGTCCTCTTGATACACTGATTCCTTCATTGTTATGAAATAATTTTCTTTATTCTGGTGATGTTTCCTCTCTGAAGTCACTTTGCCTGATAAGTCCCTCCTGCTTTCTTTTGCTGGTGTTAGTGATATGGTTGCATTTATATCTATCCTTTTGCTATAGTTTTCCATTTGTCCTATTGATTCTTTTTTTCCCCTTTTTCCATTTTTCTGCCTTCTTTTGGGTTGAGTATTTTTATGATTCTATTTGTTGGCTTATTAGCTATAATTCTGAACAGTGGTCTGGGAACTCTCAATACTCACAGGGCTCCCCTCAATTGCTAACATCTCTCAGGGATTTGTTTCTTTTGTTGCCTGATGCCCAGTGTCTCCAAAGTCCCTGTTCTATATACTGTGTCTGTTTTGGTTGTTGTTTCAGGCAGAAGGGTAAATCCAGTCTCTGTTACTCTATCTTGGTTGGAAGTGAATAGTGATTTTTGAACATCTGTGTGAAGAAAACCCCACAGTTTTAGATATTTTACGTAGAAACTTAAGGAACACTGGAGAAAACCAAAGATTTTTAATGTAATGTTTTTCCTTACTTGAAGTGGTGATTGCACATTTTTTTTCCATCTCTGATAACCACAGTATTTTAAATTTCACTGTGATTTTTTAAATACAACACTACGTATTTGAGGGGAAATTTTATTCACCTAATCCCACTAATTAAGTGATTTGTATCACTGTATTTTATTTGCACAACTAGTCTCTTATTGTAGATTGTAAATGCCAGTCATTGATAGTCTTTTAAAACTTATCCTTCATTGTGAAAATCAACATATTAGGTACTTGCTACTTTTCCAGAAAACGTTGTGGCACCATCAGGAAGGACAAACACCACAAGGCAGTCCTGCACTTCTAAATTTGTGCCCATCACTCTTTACTTCACTCCACATCAGTCCGCTCATCATTCCTGCACACTCCATTCTGTTCCTCCGTTAACTGCTTGGCCTACACTCACTTCCCTCCCCTATACAAACCTGCCTGGCAATTTTCGATTCACCCTTCAAAATGTAGCTTAGAAAAATATTTACCACATTTTCAAGTTAATTATATACATTTTATTTCACTAAATATTAAGTTCTTGAGCCTGGGATAGTTCACTTCTGCCTCTTTGATGCCTAGCGTAGTGCCTGTACATTTAACAGGGTCTCAAAAAATGTTTATTTAATTGAACTGAACTCAGAAATAATTTGGGATGCACAGTGTTAGGGACTGAATGTATGTGTCTCCCCCAAATTTCCTATGTTGAAGCCCTAACCTCTAGTATCGCTGTATTTGGAATAAGGAAATAATTAAGGTTAATGAGGTCATAAGGGTGAGGCTCTGACCCAAAAGGATTAGTGTCTCCATACAAAGAGACACCACAGATCTCTCTCTCTGTGCACGTACTAAGAAGAGGCCTTGTGAACACGCAGTGAGAAGGCAGCCATCTGCAGCCCAAGGGGAGGGCCCTCACCAGACCCCACTAGACCCCACCCTACTGGCACTTTGATCTTGGACTTCCAGTTTCTACAACAGTGAGAAAATAAACTTCTGTTGTTTAAGCCACTCAGTCTATGGTATTTTGTTATGAGCCTGAGCTGACTAATATACATAGGGATGTGTTTAAGATGAGGCAGTTCCTCTCTTCCCACTAAAAAGCAAGTTAGGGCTCTTGGGTCTCCAGTAGTAAAAACTCTTCTGTTGGGAAAAACAAAAAAACAAAAAACAAAATTTTTTTTTTTTTGGCGGGGGAAGGGAAGTGGCCTTTTCTCCAGAGGGCTATGCTTGAAAGAGTATTGTCACTTCATCCTTAGCCAAGGCCACAACTCACTCCCAACTAAGATTAGACATTCCATAAGTTCTCTTACAAGCAAACTAATTATAAAAGAAAGCTCAATTCCCTAAGGACTGGGTTACTGAGGTAGTAGAGAAGTGCAAACCCTTATTCCATCACAGAGTCAGAGTTCAGAGATACTGCAGCAATACAGTATTCCCCCCTTATCCACGGGGGATACATTCTAAGACCCCCAGTGGATTCCCAAAACCATGGATAGTAGCAAACCCAATATATACTATGGTTTTTTGATCTGATAACTGAGATGGCTGCTAAGTAATGGCTGTTAAGTGACTAATGGGCAGGTCGCATATACAACAGGGATACACTACACAAAGGGATGATTCGCATTCCAGGTGGGACACGGCAAAATTTAATTACACTATGCAGCACAGTGCACAATTAAAAACTTACGAATTTTCTATTTCTGAAACTTTCCATTTAATATTTTTAGACTACATTTGATTGTGGGTAACTGAAACCCCAGAAAACAAAACGAGGATAATGGGGGACCACCGCATATATCTCAGAGGTAAGAAGAACTATTACAGGGCTTCTAAAATAACCATCATTTATGACATTATAAAATAAAGCTACAGAAGGAATGAGGAGTGCTAGAAGGAGGCTTTAGTTTTTGGAAGGGGTGGTCAGGGAAGGCTTCACTGAGGAGGTGTCATTTAAGCAAAGACCTGAAGATGCTGTGTGTGTGTGAGTTGTGCACAATCTTGAGAAAGAGTATTTCAATAAAAAGGAACAATAAATACAAGAAGGACATGTTCAAGTTGAATTACAAGTAATCTCATGAATTTCTATAAAAGACCTAAATCACATCATTTTTGTTTGCCAAGAACCATCCCCCATCCCCAAGAAAAGTTTCATCTTTCTTAAAAGAGAAAATTAAATGATTACTATTCAGCTATCATTTATAGCAACAACAGAACCTATCTGCTACAGAGCAGGAATTGGATTTGAAAAACACAATGCTGCTAAAAATTACATCTTTAAGACTTACTTGAATGTAAAATGAGAATTACTGTATTCAATAATTCTATTATATGACTGTGGAAACTTGTCTACTTATGAAAAGTAAGAACAGTCTAGACAGGTAGAAGTTGTAATGTGAGCTTCATAATATTAAAGCTGGAATGAAAAACAGTTTTTCGAATTTATTTCATCAATTACTGAAATATTGCTAGAAATAAAAGGCAGAAAGCTCACAACAACATCAGAAAGCTTAAAGTATTTATCTTTAAATTGAAAATATGCTAACTGCTAATGTATAAAAAGTAGTTGTTATTGTAGTAATAGTAGAAAAAAATAATAGCCACATGTGAGTGCTTAGCATGTGACATGTACTGTGCAAAGTATTTTGCGTGTACACATGGCCTCGTTTAATCCTGGCCTCAACCCAGAGGGGCAGGTTTCCCTGTTATTCCCAACTTGCTTGCTGAAGATTACCAGCTGGTCAGTGGCAGAACTAGAACTCAAGCCTAGGCAGCCTGACTCATAGCCTAAGCACCATATGCACAATGCTATGAAAACACCAACATTTGTCTATCAACCTCAGCAACTGTTTCTGCTTGTCCTGACCAAAATCTGACACCTTCCTGTTTAGTTTTTAAAGGATTATTACGATGTGTCACTTTCAAAACTCAGGATTTTAATTTTTCCTGTCTTTGTGATCTATTAATGAATTCCAAGTCATTATTTAATAATAATGGGATAACCACATCTTGATTTGTCCAGTCCCAGTTTACACATTTTGTCTCACTAAATAGTATCCCTTTCACTCTCTTAAAGTGACCAGGTTTGGATCATAAATTATATAATCACTCACTTAATAATCACTTTATTTTTTGCTCTGCCCACTGTCTTTTTTTATTAAACAATGAAACTTACTGAACTGCTAGCATTCTCTCTTTTAGAGGGAGTATATGTTCAAACACACTTCTAATCAGTGTTGGCTCTCAACATTTAAAGCACAACTTTTTTTCTTGTCTTTAAATGGTCCACAACTCTTTTCCAATTCTTATGTCTGATCTCATCTCCTCCCACATCCTGTCCCATTCCCTGTTGTCTTCTCCTAAATGAATCCTTTGTCTCTCTCGCCCACTATTGCCTATATCTTCTTTTATGCCACCCCCTACGCTTGGAACAAACCTATTAATCCACCAAAGGTCTGTCCTCCAAAAACTTCTTTAAAAGTCACTTTAGTCAGTAAGCCTACCTAAGATCATCCATCCACCCACCTGTCCTATTTATGGACTGAATCCATCAGGCCAACCTCTTTGAGGCTCAGATTTGAAACATTTTTTATTATTTTTACACTACTATGAGGTTCACCATCTTCACTCACACCGAAGAGAATGTGAATTCTAACAAACTTTACAATGTAAAAGTAGGGCTTTCAGGTATATCTGTATCTAGTAACCAAAAATGCACGCATAATCCAGAGGGATCTTGCTAAAAAATTATAAATCCAACCATCACTTTCAGAGGACATAGGGACAAACGCTCAGTTGTGAATATCCGATTGTCAAAAGGGAGATCATATATTCACTGCCGGTACACAATCTTCTTTTTTTTTTTTTTTTTTTTTGAGATGGAGTCTCTGTCACCCAGGCTGGAGTGCAGTGGTGCGATCTCGGCTCACTGCAAGCTCCGCTTCCTGGGTTCACGCCATTCTCCTGCCTCAGCCGTCCGAGTAGCTGGGACTATAGGCGCCTGCCACCACACCCAGCTAATTTTTTGTATGTTTAGTAGAGGCGGGGTTTCACTGTGTTAGCCAGGATAGTCTCAATCTCCTGACCTCATGATCGCCCGCCTCGGCCTCCCAAAGTGCTGGCATTACAGGTGTGAGCCACTGCGCCCGGCCGCTGCTGGTACACAGTCTAAGAAAAGTTACTCTTGCAATCTCATGGGGAAAATGGGTGAAGTGAAGATCTGGTCTTGTCCTGCTCCTAACACCTACAACTTGCCCAATTCTGAGTATCAACTCTGTGCTCATTTGTTCACATTGACAGTAAGGACAGTAATAAATAAACAAAATAGCACACATGGAAAGCTGTCACTTTTGGGCCAAACACTATACATTTAGTGAGCTAGTATAATGAGCTAAGGCATTAGAAATCCCATTAACATATTTTTCAGCAGAATTGTACATTAAACAAGACAATTAATTCTAGGTAACACTGATTTTTGAACATCACAGTTTAAGACAAATACAAGGAATTAAAATTCAAAGCTGAAATAGGACATCAGAAAGATATTTTTAATGGGATGATAATATATCTAAAAATAACAGAATGAGAATGAAACTCTCCCCAAATATTTGAGTAACAAATATTAATAGGCCAGAAAATAACTATTGTATTTATATAAATATAGACCACCAGAAGAAATGTCATTTGGTTATGTAAGAGGGAAAAATTCACTTTTCTAAATGTACAAAATCAGAGACTATCACCTACAGAACCATGTTAGGAAAAATAACATGATAATACATATGGCTTCTTTATGCTAAAAAACACAATAGGTATTGAGAAAGTGAGTTCTGTGGTTTTGATTATGGAGAGAGATATCAAACTTCCACACGTTATAAATCAATAAGGCCACCTCATCCTCTGAAAAAAACAACTTATTGATTCTTTTTCATTCTTGAAGTTAAAAAGCACTACTCAAATAAGGATATACATTCCCCAATACGTAAAAAGCAGTGATTTAAGTTGTGTGCCAACAAACTGAAATCCAAGAATACAAATATCCCAGAGCTGAGTTAACTATAAAGCAATCATTTTAAGCGTTCATTTGGCTGTTTGGGGGGTAGCATTATCACTATGGCAGAACAAAACCACCACCAGTTTGACTGTGGAGAAGGCATTTCAAATTAACACAAACTGACTTGGTTTCATTTAAAGAAAAGATTCATATGAGGTGGGAAGTAGAAGTACTTCATCCAGGGGGTCCTGGTTCTGTCCATTTTGTTTTATGAGGCCCATCACAGCTAGACAATGTAGCACAGAAGGAGCATATTCTTAATATACCTTGTCAGGGGCAGTCTGTGACACACAGACAATGGAAAAGGAAAATGGGCCTCTAAGATCTGGCTGTTCATAAATGAAAAGTTCCTCTTAAGAATATGGGTACACATGGAATACTATGCAGCCATGAAAAATGATGAGTTCATGTCCTTTGTAGGGACATGGATGAAGCTGGAAACCATCATTCTCAGCAAACTATCGCAAGGACAAAAAACCAAACATCGCGTGTCCTCACTCATAGGTGGGAATTGAACAATGAGAACACATGGACACAGGAAGGGGAACATCACACACTGGGGCCTGTTGTGGCGTGGGGGGAAGGGGGAGGGATAGCATTTGGAGATATACCTAATGTTAAATGACGAGTTACTGGGTGCAGCACACCAATGTGGCACATGTATACGTATGTAACTAACCTGCACATTGTGCACATGTACCCTAAAACTTAAAGTATAATAATAAAAAAAAGAATATGGGTACAAAGACAACTGCACTTGCATGTTTATCACAGCACTATTTATAATAGCAAAGGCATGGAATCAACCTAGACGCTCATCAATGGTGGAGTGGATGAAGAAAATGTGGTACACATACACCATGAAATACTAAGCAGCCATAAACAAGAACAAAATCATGTATTTTGCAGTGATTCCTAGGTGAATTAACACAGAAAAAAAACTAGATATCACATATTCTCATTTATAAGTGGGAGCCAAACACTGGGTACACATGGACATAAAGATGGGAATAACAGAAACTGAGGACTCCAAAAGTGGGGACAGAGGAAGGGGACAAGGGCTGAAAAACTTCCTATCAGGTACTACTATGTTCACTATATGGGTGACGGGATCAACAGAAGTCCAAACCTCAGCATCATGCAATATATCCTTGTAACAAACCTGAATGTATTCCCTGAATCGAAAATTTTTTTAAAAGGGGTTGAGGTGGGGAAAAGAATATGAGTTCAACTGCTTCTTCTTTTCCAGGGCAAAAGAACTTTGCTTTCATAGTTCTGGCCAAACTTCTAAATGGCATATGGAGCACTGGGAAGCATTAGATAATATGCTGTTATCATATTTTATCTCCAGAGTAGTTAAAAAAACAAGTAATCTACATTTACTATCTGCCAAACAATGACCCAAGCCCAGAAATGACCAAATAACAAGCATGTGGGCAAAAAAGTAACAGAAAAATAAATCCAAATAACCCAAAAGTCACAGGCATAAGTGAGTTACATTTACACTTTGTAACCAGTGCCTCTTAGTTTATACCATGATTCCAGCTCAAATGGATCATCTTTCTGTAGAACCACAAATTATTACTGTATATAGAGTCAATGCACAGGTTATTAATATCAGTAATAAAGCCACAGGGAAAAGGAGAGACTAGAAAACTAGATGGTGAGGGTGAAATAAAATTTCTCTAAACAACCATGATAACAGGAAATACCACAAACTCTTGCAATAGTCACATCAACTGTTACATAAAATTTGGCAGTCTGCATACCTCTTGCATTTGCTGCTTAGTGCCAGGCACCAAAATTAAATGACAGTGATTCTTCAAAAGGAATATTAAAAAACTAATGAAAACAAAAGCTCTTTTCCTTCCGTTAAACTAGACAATCACAACACTGTTTCAATAGCTGCCTGCTACAGTACTATAGTGTTATGCAAGACAAGAAAACAGCAAGATAATCACAGAACAGATAACTGTCCATTGTGTTTTACTGACCAGTATTTAAACCATAATGATGCTCTCTGACTTGACCATTTAGGGATAGTAAGAAAAATTCAGAGGCTATTGTACAATCAGCTAAACTGTGAAAAGTATTTCCCAAACACACTTTTCTAACTGAACACACAGAAATAAATTTTCCTGCAGCTTTTTATTCACTGATACTACATTGGTTTTTCTTTTACTTTTAACATTTTACAGAAAAGACTGAAATATCATTGTATATGGTTACATTGCTATCTTTAAAAGTGATTTTGGAGGTTTAGGACTGAAGGATATCACATGAAACTTAATGAAACCACCCTAACCAGACATACATTGCTCTCTCTGCCCAGACTCTCAATGCCACAACCATTGCATGCTAGGATGCAGAGACAATACATTGAATTCTTAAGACTTCTACTGTTATAATTAATAGGGTCTTGAACTTCCTATTGGCATATAGTATGTGCTACCTGAAAATAAATGCACATATGAAAATAATGGTATCAACATGAGATACAAGAACGAACTTAAAAGTGAACATTTTTAAGTCTCTGTATAAATGTTACCTGTATAAAAGTGTACATACAGTGCCTTGAACAACACAGGGTTGAACTGTGCAGATCCACTTATACATGCATTTTCTTCCACGTCTGCCACCCCTGAGACAGCAGACCACCTCCCCCTACTCGTCCTCCCTCCTCGGCCTATTCAGTGTGAAGACAGGGAAGACCTTTATGATGATCCATTTCTACGTAATAAATAGTGATTTTCTTAATAGCATTTTCTTTTCCCAGCTTACTTTATAGTAGAAATACAGTATATAAAACATAAAACATACAAAATATATGTTAATCAACTGTATATTTTTTAGGTAAGGCTTCTGGTCAACAGTAGGCTATTAGTAGTTAAGTTTTGGGGAAGTTCAAAGTCATATGCAAAGTTATTTGTCAAAGTTCTATTGTGATTGTGCTGGGGGGAGTGCAGGGGGGTTTGGGGGTTGGCATCTTGCCCCACATCGTTCAAGGGTCGACTATATTTTGATAGTAACTATACTTCAGAATCCCCAGAAAAGCTTCTGCTTGTTTACTTAAAGTTAGCAGAATAATAAATACAATTGTTAGTAACTAAACAGAAGAATGACAAGGAAGCTATGAGACTATTAATCACCATTGTAAATTATACTCAGTTGGTAATTACTCTTAATTTTTCCTCTTCCAGTACTAAGTAAAACCTAAAACTTAACCTTTTGGGTTACCTTGAAAATCTGCCTATAAATGCTTACTTTGTGAAATCTAGTTGAAAATACCCTATATCCACTATTACTTTGAGAAGAAAAAAAAATCAAACCTGTATAAAAAATCAAAACCGAACTTAGATATTTTGGATACAACACCATGAAATTTTTATAAGGATTAGTAGCTTTGGAAAACAAGGACATTATTATATATTTAGAGAACAGAGACCAGACTAAATGGAAAATAAAGAATTTAAATGACCAAGAAAAATGGTTTTGAGTTTCTTCTGTTTCTACAGTTTACACATCAATTTTAAATTTTAGCCAGTTTTATAAATTATCTCCTAGTGAAATTGTGAGTAGGTAAAGAACAGAAGTTCAATAATTTAGACACAAATATAATTTAGAATGTATAGACATCAAATAATATTAAATTTGTAATGGCTCTACGATGAGTCAAAATGATTTCAAGGGCAAAGCTAATGAAATCATACTATTATTAAAAGGATTATTAAGAGGCAAAGAATAAGGTCAAAAGTGTGGCTTTGGGGGCCAGAATGTTTGGATTGCAATACTGCTTTAATAGCTTTCTAAACAAGTCATTCATTCACTCATTTTGGAGACGGGGTCTCACTATGTCACCCAGGCTGGAGTGTAATAGTGCAATCATAGCTCACTGCAGCCTCAAACACCTGGGCTCAAGCGATCCTCCTGCCTCAGCCTCCTGGGACTATACATATGTGCCACCATGCCTGGCTAATTTTTTTTTTTTTTTTTTTTTTTTTTTGAGACAGAGTCTTGCCTAAGCTGGTCTTGAACTCCTGGCCTCAAGCGATCCTTCCACCCAGAGTGCTGGGATTACAGGCATGGGCCACTGCACCTAGCCTCTAGCAAGTCATTTAATCACTCTGTACATCAGTTTCCTTATCCATAAAATGGGAATAATAATATCTCATAGAGTTGTTTTGAGGATTTAAATAAAAATATTTAATAACTATAAATATCATTGTCCAGACACAATGTCATTTAGCTTTTCTCCTATGTTTTCTTCCAGTAGTTTAACAGTTTCAGGTCTTATGCTGAAGATGTTAATCCAATTTGATTTGATTTTGTAGGTGGTGTGAGGTAAGGGTTCGATTTCCCTCTTTTGCATATGGATATCCAATTTTCCAAACACCATTTATTGAAGACACTGTCCTTTCCTACTGTATATTCTTGATACATTTGTTGAAGATCAATTGACCACAGTTGCATGGGTTCTCTTCTGGGCTCTCTACCCTGTTCCACTGGTCAATGTGTCTTTTTTTATACTGTACAATGTGTTCTAATTACTATCATTTTATAGAATACAGTAGTTTGAAATCTAGTAGTGTAATGCTCCAGCTTTGTTCTTTTTTGCTTACAATTGCCTTGGCTACTTGGGTTTCTCTGTGGTTTTATATAAATTTTAGGATTATTTTTCTATATGTATGAGAAATGGCATTGGAATTTTTATGGAGATTGCATTGAAAAACGACTAAACTCATAGAAGTAGACAGTAGAATGGTGGTTACCAGCGGCCAAGGGGGTAGCGGGGAAAAGGAGATTACAGTCAAAGGGTACAAAGCCCCAGTTAGGCAGGAAGAATAAGTTTGATCCTTTTTTAGATCAATTGCACAGCATGGTGAATATAATTGTTATATACATTTCAATATCACTAACAGTAAATCTCTAATGTTCTCGTCACAAAAAATGTTAAATATCGAGGTGATGGATATGCTAACTAGCTTAACTTAATCTTTCCACATTGTATTAAAAAATCTTAACACCACTTTGCACCCCATAAATATGTAACTGTAATTTGTCAATATATAATAAAAATAAAATTAAAAAAAATTAAAATAAAGAGTTAATCACTGGAACAGTGGCTATTACAGAGTAAGAGTTCAATAAATGTTAGCTATTATCACCACTACTGGGCAAAAAAAAAAATATTTTGTATGCATGCTTTCTCTAATATGTAGTCTTTAAAAAATTCTATACATCTAAAGATCATTTAAAAACATTAAATTTTAATGAACTGCCTCTTATAGACAGCTAGTTTGTAAAACTGTTGTGCAAAACAAGTGCCCTCCTGGAACACGTGTGATGCCAGTTTAAGATCAATACAAGAATAGTCATGGAAAAATGCCAAAGTCACTCTTCGATTCCCATTTTAGCTCAAATCTGTGAACACGGTTTTAAAACATAAGAGAATAGAATTGAAATTTTAAAATCTCAGAACAAAATGTTTAAAAATAGAAGAAGCTATCTACTGAGAATAATTCACTAAGCACATGTGTGGTGAGATACATTTATCTCACTTTATAATGCTGTGACATTCAATAAGATGAAACTTTGATCAGAGAAGGGACTCCAGAGAGACTTGGATTCTACTTTCGGCTTGTTGTGTGATCACTGCCAAACCATTTAACTTCTCTGTATTCTCCTCTCCTTCTTCATCTTTTATAACATAGAAATAAATCATTCTGTTGTCAATATAACTTAGATCATATTGTAATAAATGTTATTTCCATTCTGTAGCCAAACTGAAAAGGATTTACCTTCCTCATCACCAATGTGATGATTTAGTTACTTAGTGCCAGTAGGTGAAACACTAACTTCTGATTTACATCACTGTCTATTTAAATTCTGGAAGCCAAATAAATCTAAGGGCTGGCATCATGACGTGCCAGGGCATGGAGTGGGTGGAATCACTTTTCTCCATATACGGAAACCCTGTATGTTTAAGTCTGTTAGACACTTAGTAACAAAGAATATTTCTATAATAAGCAGTTGTGCAAGTCTGCATGTCTGAATATGTACATGAAATTCCCTGCAAATGGCAGCCCAGAGGAAGAGCATCCAACTTGAGGAATTTTGTATCCAATCCAAATCCTCCATACACATAGTTTAAACTGCACGAGAAATTTTAATTTGTTATTTAGCATGTCCATATTCAGGAATTCTGGTCACACCTACACACCCACACCTACACACTCGACATCAACTGAGACTAGAGTGCCTCCTTCACCAACGCAATCTACACCTAGGAGCATCTGGTGGGAAAAAAGGATCTACTACCATTTTTTGGATCAAATATGAATTTCATATCGTTCTTTCCTAAGGTCCTATTCTTACATTGTTTCCATATGCCAAAATTCTCATGACATCCTTCTTACAGATTAAAAATCCAGTTAGTTAATAAGTATTTTTGTTATATTTTTAGTCACTGACTTAATTTCTTCCATTTTTGAATGATACTACAATTTGGTGACATTTTAGTGTAGATCACTGTGGCAGGCTAGTAATCTAAAATTTATTCTGGGTGGGGTTTTAATGTTACTGTTAGTCTTCAATAAATCTTAACAATACTCTCATAAGTAACACAAAAAAATATTTTAAAAATATTTCCAGTTATAGTACAAATTTATTTGATTTTCTGCTAAGTCATTTTGAATTAAAAAGTTAAATGGTATTTTTAATATACACAAATATGTATTTTCTTATGTTTTACCTATATTCCTGAAACTTCACTCTGTTACTACTATTGCAGTCATTAGCCTCCATAATTTACTTATGCCAAAGGAAAACTTTTTGGGGGAGTGAGTGGTGATGGTAAAGCTTGCTAGGACTACTCTATTTTCAAATTTTTCCAATTTTGTGTTTAAATGTCAAGTGGCAAAATTTAATGTAAAATAATTTTGCTTTCCCTTCTGTGCTCTTCTGCTTAGCTGAAGCTAGCAGAGTAAATGTTACTTTATGATTTTTTTCATGCTTTTATTTAATTAATGGTCATATATGTATATATTTTCCCAACACTTTATTCTTACCTAACAAGATGTAATTGTTAGTTCAGTTCACTGTCTACTCAAAGTATCGTGTTACTTTAAAATTAAGTTTTCTCCTTTTTAGTTGATGCATTATAACTGTACATATTTATGCGATTCAGAGTGATACCTCTATGTGTGTATACAACAGGTAATGATCAAATCAAAGTAATTAGGATAGCCATCACCTCAAATATTCATCATTTCCTTGTGTTGTGAACATTCAAAATTCTCTCTTCTAGTTTTTTGAGAATATACAATAAATTATAGTTAACCATATTTACCCTTCAGTACCACAGAACAACAGAACTCACTCTTTCTAGCTAGCTATAATTTTGTATTCATTAACCAGCCTCTCCCTATCCTCCCCTCCTAGCTGAGGAAATCATAACAGAATCTACACTACTGCTTCTACCCAGAATTGAAGCCAAAGCACCCTACCCACTCAACACTATAGATACAACCACAAGAAAAAGTTTTGTGTTTTTAGGAGGGATGTTTCAAAGCATGTTGATACTGCCTTGATGGTCATGGTTATCAGATAATTTCAACAAGTGGAAAATTTGTAAATTCTTTCACTGGGAGGAAAAGCAATGCAATTCCACAAATTCAAGAAGACTTAGGGAGCCTTCGTTTAGTCAGGTAGTTTTACTGTACGTGGGTAGAAACTAAAACCAGAGAACTACAACCAAATACTTCATTATCTAATTATGCTCTCTTGAATGCTACCATCTTTTTTTTTTTTTTTTTTTTTTTTTGAGACGGAGCCTCGCTCTGTTGCCCAACTTGGAGTGCAGTGGTGCGATCTCGGCTCACTGCAACCTTCACCTCCCGGGTTCAAGCGAATTCTCCTGCCTCAGCCTCCCGAGTAGCTGGGATCACAGGCACCCACCACCACACCCGGCTAATGTTTTGTATTTTTAGTAGAGATGGGGTTTCGCCATGTTGGCCAGGCTGGTCTGGAACTCCTAACCTCAGGTGATCCACCCGCCTTGGCCTTCCAAAGTGCTGGGATTACAGGTGTGAGCCACTGCACTGCACCCGGCCTTGAATGCTACTTTTAAGACACAGTAGCTTTATAACAGGATCACACTTTACTGCTTCTCTAAGTCTATTGAAAAGTGGTCATTAGTAGACTGAGCAAGTCTGCAAAAAGTTAAGTTCATTTCAGCAAAACAAAATTACCCATTCTCAGCAAATATGAAGCACCTATTGAATACCCAAGTATCATATTAAGTGCTAGGGATCAGTGGTTACACACACACACACACACACACACACACATTTTCTGCCCTTATGGAACTAATGATCTACTCTTAGAGTGAGAGTGACAGCAAAAGTGAGAGAGTGCGAGGGGTGGTGTGTGAGAGGAACCATAATATTAACATAACAATGTTTTGGATAAAGGAAAACTTGTCTGAGGAAGTGAAAAATGTAAGAAAATATGGAGAAGGAAAAAGACAGGAAAGAACATGCAAAAAGTCCTGAGATAGAAAAGGGGTGAGCAACTCCTGGAAGAGAAAGCACAATTGATATGGCTAGAGAATGTAGCATCCTAAGGGCAAAGAAAAGTCACTAAAGGGTTGAGCAAGGAAGATACATGTAACTTAGAATCTATGAAGATGCTTGCTGGATCGGGAATTAGGGGTGAGGGTGGGGTGACAGAACTTGAGGAAAAGGACTAGGTAGGAGTCCAGGTGTGTGATAAGGACTGTCTGAGCTAGGGTGACTGGCAGTGGTAACAGAGAAAAAAAAGTAGAGATTTGATTTATATTTTGGATAGAGAACTGAAATGGATGTAGTGAGGATGAATACAGCAGGTGAGGGGAAAATGCTGATGACTCTTAGATGGTGGGCAGAAGCAACTTGACGGATACAGGCACCATTCATGGAGATGAAAAGGTTTATGGAGAAAGCTTAAGAGTTCTCTTGGGAGATGGGACATGTGAGGTATGAGTGTTGATGTTAACAGTAAGGCAGCTCTCAGGACAGGACAAGGGCTCAGAGTTTCAGCTGGACTATCAATTTGGAACATATTGGCATGTGGATGTCATGTAAAGTCATAGAAATTGATGAAAATGGCTAAGGTAAGAGTTTAAGTACAGAAAAGGGCTTTAGGAACAAGCTTTTTAAAAGTTCTAATGTTTAAAACCAAAAAGCATAAAAAAAATGGCAAAAGGGGGGGAAGAAAGCCAGGAGTATGCTGTCACAGAAGCCAAAAGAGGGTGGGGCTGTACTACCTAGTTCATCTGTTGAGGTCAAGTAAAGAAGGCGGTGAAGTTTCTCAAAATGTGCCTTCTACTCTCCCCTAGAATGCATGTAAACAATTCACTCCCATGGTTCTTGAAAAAAAGAAAAACCCCAAACCAGAAACATACTAAGTTAGAAGAACAATTTTTAAAAATTTATCTATTATAGCCAAATCATGAGTGAACTCCCATTCACAATTGCTTCAAAGAGAGTAAAATACCTAGGAATCCAACTTACAAGGGACGTGAAGGACCTCTTCAAGGAGAACTACAAACCACTGCTCAATGAAATAAAAGAGGATACAAACAAATGGGAGAATATTCCATGCTCATGGGTAGGAAGAATCAATATCATGAAACTGGCCATACTGCCCAAGGTAATTTAAAGATTCAATGCCATCCCCATCAAGCTACCAATGACCTTCTTCACAGAATTGGAAAAAACTACTTTAAAGTTCATATGGAACCAAAAAAGAGCCCGCATCGCCAAGTCAATCCTAAGCCAAGAGAACAAAGCTGGAGGCATCACGCTACTTGACTTCAAACTGTACTACAAGGCTACAGTAACCAAAACAGCATGGTACTGGTACCAAAACAGAGATATAGACCAATGGAACAGAACAGAGCCCTCAGAAATAGTGCCACACATCTACAACCATCTGATCTTTGACAAACCTGACAAAAACAAGAAATGGGGAAAGGATTCCCTATTTAATAAATGGTGCTGGGAAAACTGGCTAGCCATATGGAGAAAACTGAAACTGGATCCCTTCCTTACACCTTATACAAAAATTAATTCAAGATGGATTAAAGACTTAGATGTTAGACCTAAAACCATAAAAACCCTAGAAGAAAACCTAGGCAATACCATTCAGGACATAGGCATGGGCAAGGACTTCATGTCTAAAACACCAAAAACAATGGCAACAAAAGCCAAAATTGACAAATGGGATCTAATTCAACTAAAGAGCTTCTGCACAGCAAAAGAAACTACCATCAGAGTGAACAGGCAACCTACAGAATGGGAGAAAATTTTTGCCATCTACCCATCTGACAAGGGGCTAATATCCAAAATCTACAAAGAACTCAAACAAATTTACAAGAAAAAAACAACCCCATCAAAAAGTGGGTGAAGAACATGAACAGACACTTCTCAAAAGAAGACATTTATGCAGCCAAAAGACACATGAAAAAATGCTCATCATCACTGGCCATCAGAGAAATGCAAATCAAAACCACAATGAGATACCATCTCACACCAGTTAGAATGGCAATCATTAAAAAGTCAGGAAACAACAGGTGCTGGAGAGGATGTGGAGAAATAGGAACACTTTTACACTGTTGGTGGGACTGTAAACTAGTTTAACCATTGTGGAAGTCGGTGTGGCGATTCCTCAGGGATCTAGAACTAGAAATACCATTTGACCCAGCCATCCCATTACTGGGTATATACCCAAAGGATTATAAATGATGCTGCTATAAAGACACATGCACACGTATGTTTATTGCAGCACTATTCACAATAGCAAAGACTTGGAACCAAGCCAAATGTCCAACAATGATAGACTGGATTAAGAAAATGTGGCACATATACACCATGGAATACTATGTGGCCATAAAAAAGGATGAGTTAATGTCCTTTGTAGGGACATGGATGAAGCTGGAAACCATCACTCTCAGCAAACTATCACAAGGACAAAAAACCAAACACCACATGTTCTCACTCATAGGTGGGAAATGAACAATGAGAACACTTGGACACAGGAAGGGGAACATCACACACCAGGGCCTGTTGTGGGGTGGGGGGAGAAAGGAGGGATAGCATTAGGAGATATACCTAATGTAAATGACAAGTTAATGGGTGCAGCACACCAACATGGCACATGTATACATATGTAACAAACCTGCACGTTGTGCCCATGTACCCTAAAACTTAAAGTATAATTAAATAAAAAAATTTATCTATTACATTTTCTTACCAACTTTTCTGATCTGAATTTACTTGTCCTATTTTGACTTATACTGCACTGACTAACGCTGTAAATCTTTAAGACTGAATACCACATTATGGAAAATAGAATAGGCTTGATGACAGGATCAAGTAATGAATATGTAATTCAAAAGGAAACCATAATGGTTTAAGTGGGATAATACATTTCATTTCATGCCACAGAAGTGGCACAGAAATCAATAAAGCACAGCCACAACAGAATTATTACGACAGTATCATATGCATGAAAAATTATTACTATAGCTTCAAGTATTTATTCATTACAGATTAAGTGAATAGCATATTATATGACAAGACCATTCCAGCAATTTTTAAAACTTGTTTTGAGGAAACTCATTAGAGCTTTGTCTTAGATTTAGACTGAAGATGCAATCCTTTGAAAGTAATAAAATGGCACCAGATGTGATTTTTTTTAAAGCACAGTATAAAAGACATGACAAATGGGTAAAAGTATTCCTAAATTTGAAAGTGCTACAGTTGAGATATAAAAATGATTTCATATTACACGTACTTAGAATTATAAATCCATTCAGTTAAAAAGAAAAGAAAAAAAAAGAAGAAAAAAAGCAAATCTATGAAAGTTCTAAAATAAACCATGGGAGAAATTCTCTGTGATCATACTGAGGAACTCCTATCTAATCCTGTAAACCACCGCAGTTCTTTGCCAATTAATAAAGTGGCATTGCATTATGTTAGTAGAGGGAAAAAAGGAAAGAAAATCCAAAGACATACATGTAACTTAGGGGTGGTTGGGAGGAGGGTAGAGAAAAGTGAGAGAAAAAATTTATTTAAATTTGCATAATTTTTTTAATTTGTAAAAGATAAATTTTAAATAATTTTAAAAAGAAATGTCATGTACATTTTACTATTGTTCCACAGCTATTTTTATACATTATCTGGTTTTTGGACACATACATAATTTTTATGTAGTTGTTTTAATAGCAGTATATAATTTTATATTTTTTTCATTAAACATTATATCAAATATAACTACTAAAAATAGAAAATAGCAGTATAGAAGCTTATATTCTTTTTTCATAAACATTATGTCAAATGTTTTCCATATTTCTACTTATTTTTCTTTATAATATTTTAATGGCTGTATGATATTCCATTGAGTTGATAGGATATAGTTTATTTGACCATTCTTCTATTTTGTTCCTAAATATAACCCTTTCTTTAGGTTAAGTTCTTCCCTTAAGATAAATTCCAATATATTAACATTTTAATGACTTTTGGTAAATACTTCTAGCATATTTCTTTATAGAATCCACTATCTTCATTACTAAATTTTTTAATTGACAAAAATTATATATATTTATGATGTAAATGATGTTTTGATATATGTATACATTGTGGAAATGATTAAATCAGGCAAATTAACATATTAATTGCTTCACATACTTCTTTGTGGTAAGAACACTTAAAGATCTACTCTCCTAGCAATTTTCATGTATACAATACATTGTTATTAACAATAATCACCATGTTGTGAAACAGATCTCTTGAATCGCCATTCTTTGTATTGCATTGTATGGCTGGAAAATAATCCAGAATCACGTATTATGCTATATCTTTAGTATAACAAATTTTTAAATGGTTGGACAGTTCAAAAAATCTTCACTCTTAAAAAATCATTCTTTTACCAACTGATTACACAAAGCTTTTAATATGAGTATCGGTAATAAGAATACCCCTAGCACACTCCTCTTACAGTATAAAATATAAACCACACAAATGATACATACTAAATATTTGCCATGTTGATAGGAACTAACTACATGCACAGAAGTAATAACACAGTTCCTACTAATATTTCATACTACACCATTTCAATGTTGAATTATGTTCTCTCAATATCATACTTCAATTCCTTTTTTTTTCAAAGTTCACCTCCATTAAGTCCTTCTTTTTCCATCTCTACTGCCACAATCAGGTAGTCTATGTGTTGGTCTATTACCTAAATTCAGATTCTTTCACCTCAGGTTCATTTAAATGCATGACAGTCATCAGACGCAGCATGCTTCGACCACATCAGTCAGGCTCAAAAGCACCAAGTAAAACTCAATGGGCTACCAAAATCATACACAAAAAAAGCCAGAACAAATAAAATACATGAAAT
This sequence comes from Homo sapiens, assembly GCF_000001405.40. Lineage (NCBI taxonomy): Eukaryota > Metazoa > Chordata > Mammalia > Primates > Hominidae > Homo > Homo sapiens. Next base: position 49,201,566 of record NC_000018.10, read on the forward strand.
GGCCTGGCCTAGCATTCAAGGCCCTCGAGAGTCTGGCCCTGGAGAATGTAACTCGTTGCAATACTGATTAATATCACAGATAAATCTGTTTTTGCCAAACATCCTATTACTGCCTTAGCATATGTCATGTGCTCTTCTATATGTGAACTTCTGGACTTGAGTTTTCCATGCCTACTCTGCTAATAGCACATTATCTATTCTTAGTTACTGCGCAGATAATCCTGTTTCAGACTACTTCAGATTCTCCTGTCAGAAGAGATCGCTTTTTATATGTTACTAATTTTATATTTAACTAACAGTACAAGGTAATGATTTTTTCCCAATGGTATTATTTTTCTGTCTTCACCATGAACCCCATTTGCTGTTTGGCACAGGACTAATCACACGGTAATCACTGAATAAGCATTTGTTAATTAGTCAGGACAGGAACTCTCTATTGTATGGCAGAGACTGTTAGTTGTCCCCATAACCATCTTCCCTTCTTACCCAACAGCAGAATACTTAGCAGGCCACAGGGTCACTTAGCCGAAAACTTTCTTTCCAGCTCACCACGCACGTTGGGTAGTCCTATGACAAACTTTTGGCCAAAGGGATGTGTGATGCCCTTAAAATGGAAATGTACATCCAACCCTAGTCCCTTTCACTCTTCTACTATCTGAAATGCAGAGCTTGTGGTGAGCCATTCGCGACCTTTTGGTCAGAGCAACACACAGGGGGTGGTGGAACACAACAGAAAAGAACTCTAGGGGAGTGCAGTGGCGTGATCTCGGCTCACTACAACCTACACCTCCCAGCCGCCTGCCTTGGCCTCCCAAAGTGCCGAGATTGCAGCCTCTGCCCGGCCGCCACCCCGTCTGGGAAGTGAGGAGTGTCTCTGCCTGGCCGCCCATCGTCTGGGATGTGAGGAGCCCCTCTGCCTGGCTGCCCAGTCTGGAAAGTGAGGAGCGTCTCCGCCCGGCCGCCATCCCATCTAGGAAGTGAGGAGCGCCTCTTCCCAGCCGCCATCACATCTAGGAAGTGAGGAGCGTCTCTGCCCGGCCGCCCATTGTCTGAGATGTGGGGAGCGCCTCTGCCCCGCCGCCCCATCTGGGATGTGAGGAGCGCCTCTGCCCGGCCGAGACCCCGTCTGGGAGGTGAGGAGCGTCTATGCCTGGCCGCCCCGTCTGAGAAGTGAGGAGACCCTCTGCCTGGCAACCACCCCGTCTGAGAAGTGAGGAGCCCCTCCGCCCGGCAGCTGCCCCGTCTGAGAAGTGAGGAGCCTCTCCGCCCGGCAGCCACCCCATCTGGGAAGTGAGGAGCGTCTCCGCCCGGCAGCCACCCCGTCCGGGAGGGAGGTTGGGGGGGGTCAGCCCCCCGCCTGGCCAGCCGCCCCATCCGGGAGGGAGGTGAGGGGTCAGCCCCCCCGCCCGGCCAGCCGTGCCATCCGGGAGGGAGGTGGGGGGGTCAGCCCCCCGCCTGGCCGGCCGTGCCGTCCGGGAGGGAGGTTGGGGGGTCAGCCCTCCGCCCGGCCAGCCGCCCCGTCCGGGAGGTGAGGGGCGCCTCTGCCCGGCTGCCCCTACTGGGATGTGAGGAGCCCCTCTGCCCGGCCAGCCGCCCCGTCCGGGAGGGAGGTTGGGGGGTCAGCCCCCCGCCCGGCCAGCCACCCCGTCTGGGAGGGAGGTGGGGGGGGTCAGCCCCCCCTGCCCGGCCAGCCGCCCCGTCCAGGAGGTGAGGGGCGCCTCTGCCCGGCCGCCCCTACTGGGAAGTGAGGAGCCCCTCTGCCCGGCCACCACCCCGTCTGGGAGGTGTGCCCAACAGCTCATTGAGAACGGGCCAGGATGACAATGGCGGCTTTGTGGAATAGAAAGGCGGGAAAGGTGGGGAAAAGATTGAGAAATCGGATGGTTGCCGTGTCTGTGTGAAAGAAGTAGACATGGGAGACTTTTCATTTTGTTCTGCACTAAGAAAAATTCCTCTGCCTTGGGATCCTGTTGATCTGTGACCTTACCCCCAACCCTGTGCTCTCTGAAACATGTGCTGTGTCCACTCAGGGTTAAATGGTTTAAGGGCGGTGCAAGATGTGCTTTGTTAAACAGATGCTTGAAGGCAGCATGCTCGTTAAGAGTCATCACCAATCCCTAATCTCAAGTAATCAGGGACACAAACACTGCGGAAGGCCGCAGGGTCCTCTGCCTAGGAAAACCAGAGACCTTTGTTCACTTGTTTATCTGCTGACCTTCCCTCCACTATTGTCCCATGACCCTGCCAAATCCCCCTCTGTGAGAAACACCCAAGAATTATCAATAAAAAAATAAATTTAAAAAAGTAAAAAAAAAAAAAAAAAAAAAAAAAAACAACTCTGGGTCTTGAAAATTCTATGGGGCAGAGCTGCCACATTAGCTCTACTTTTACTTGAGAAGTAAACTTCCATTTGCTTCTTTAAGCCACTATTATTTGGGCAGGGGAGTCTCTCTTTTACACAGCACCTATATCTAAAACTCTACCTAAATCAGGTCCATGTAAGCCTAAATCAGGTCCACTCCTACTTCTGGTTTTTGAAGAGAGGGTCTATAATTTTTAATAGATTGTAGAAGAGTTATATGAACCCCAAAAGGTCAGGAACCACTGATCCTGGCAAAGTATTAACTAGTCAAGGACTTCAGTGTTAACATGCTTTACTTTATAAAAAGAGAATATAATGTTTTTAACTCAATGTGTGTTAGAAAATAATTTTTAAACATTTCTGATGCTCTTTTCAGCTTTCTCTCATCAAGCAGCAACAATCTGAAGAGCCGAGTTAATAGTAACTCAAAATAAACTGTGCCACTGCAACAGAATTAACTCAACACTAAACTTAGCCCTTCATTTTTCCTTGCCTCAGGCCTAATTAAAACAATAGTAGCAGCTATATTTTTGACATCAGCAAAGTATGTGAAGTAAAAATAAAGACAAATAGGTACTTTCTTACTTCACAGATTTCTCACCAAACTTATTCACTACTCCACCCTGAAACCTAAGAAATTAGAACTTAAAATTGGACGTGGAACTCTAAGCAGTATTGGTCTGTTACCTAAAGTCAGATTCTTTCCTCTCAGATTCACTTAAATGCATGACAGTCATCAGAAGCAGCATGCTTTGACCATATCACAATCATTGTCAAAAGCACTAAGTAAACCTCAACTCGCTACTGAAGTGCACACACAAACTAAAAAAGCCTAGCAATGAATTGAAATTCTCAAGCGCTTACTCAAAATTCTAAATTTGATTTCTAGAGAAGTCAAATCCAAGGTTGGTAGTTTGAGAGCTGATTTCAATGCTTCTGGGGGTAAAATGGAGGAGCTAACAGGTCTGAAAGGCTTATGGCTTCATAAAATGTGACTCAGAACAAGATAAATTCAATACATTACATATATTTATTTGTTTATTTATTTCTTGAGACAGAGTCTCACTCTGTTGCTCAGGCTGGAGTGCAGTGGCGTGATCTCGGCTTACTGCAACCTCTGCCTCCTGGGTTCAAGCGATTCTCCTGCCTCAGCCTCCCAAGTAGCTGGGACTACAGGCATGTACCACTACACCCAGCTAATTTTTTGTATTTTTAGTAGAGACAGGGTTTCACCATGTTGGCCAGGCTGGTCTTGAAATCCTGTCCTCAGGTGATCCACCTGCCTCAGCCTCCCAAACTGCTAAGATTACAGGCGTGAGTCACTGTGACTGGCCTCAATACATTACATTTAAATAAGAACAAATGTAAAGCCCTGCAATCACATTCAAATAATTAAATATACAAATCTAGAGAAATGTGTTTTTGTGTGAAAAAGATCTGGTAATTCTATATGAGTCAAGGTGTGCCTGCTTTTAAAAATCACTCCAGTCTTAGGACAAATTAAGAGTATAATTTATTACAGATTGCCATAGTAGATGAGAAAAAAATACATATAACATAACTATAATTTTATAATTCATATTTTTAAATTATAAAATATACTGAAATATTATATCAAATTCTGGATATCAAATTTTATGATGGGTACTATCAATCATCCAAGAAGATAATAAAAAGACTGCATAATCTAAAAATCATCGGCTGTCAGGAATGGTTTAAGTGGCCAAGGTATTTAAGCTGAAGAGAACAAAAATTAAGGGGAGTCAATGACAGGTGTTTTCAAAAACCCAAGGGGACCTCATAGACAGCACAGTTTACACATTTATGTGTTTCTCTAAAGCACAGAGCTATAGCCAATATACAAAAATTATTGGTAGGCAGGCTTAACATATTCTAATCTTTCTAAAAATGAAACAGCAAGAGCTTTACTGCCTTCTGAGGTAAGCAGCACACAGAAGTGCTCTCTTTCAGGGTTGCTGTGAAACGAATTCTTACATTTGGAAGAAGTTTGCAGTGGAGTAAGACTTCTATCTATAGCAGTAAGTCATGTTTGACTAAGGTAGAGTTTTTTTTTTGTTTTTTTGTTTTTTGCGGAGTCTTGCTCTGTGTCACCCAGGCTGGAGTGCAGTGGCACAATCTCGGCTCACTGCAACCTCCGTCTCCCAGGCTCAAGCGATTCTCCTGCCTCAGACTCCTGAGTAGCTGGGACTACAAGCGTGTGCCACCACTCCTGGCTAATTTTTTGTATTTTTAGTAGAGACAGGGTTTCACTGTGTTAGCCAGGATGGTCTCGATCTCCTGACCTTATGATCTGCCCATCTTGGCCTCCCAAAGTGCTGGTATTACAGGCATTAGCCACCGCGCCCAGCTGGTAAAGTTCTTTTTTAAGAAATAAGCTTATATTTCTCTCTAGAAACTGAGTTACATTTTTAAATTCCGCATAACAGAAAGCTATTTGATTTTGTTAAGTAAGTCCATGATTGCTCCATTCAGATATTTGGCTTGGTTTGTCTCTCTATATAATGTAGTTCTGTTGAAGAAAATCTCTCACCTGCAGGGACTACACTCCACCTGGCCATGTGTCACTGTGTATGCAAAATGTTTGTCACCTGCAAAGGAACACGGCAAGAGAAGATGGCGAGGTAATTCCTTTTATGCAAATCTATTCAGGTCTGTCCTGAATAGAACAGTGTCCTCTGTCCTGTCCCAGACTGCAAGTGGTAAGGCAAGGAGTGAAAGTTGGTTGGGGGTATGGGGAGGAAGCCTTAACTCCAGAGCCCATGCCCCTAGCCACTACACTATATTAACACTGTATTTCTTCTCTGTTGTTCAGAAAAAAATGGGCAGGGCCTCAGGAGGGCTTGATATTGAAAAAATACCCCCTGGAGGCTTCATACTGTAAACCCCAGCTGAGAGTACTGAGAAACCCAAGTGGGTAAGGAAGGAGGGGGTTCCAGGAAAGGTGTTGAAAGAGGAAACAGAAAATGCAGAATAAATTCTACACTGACTCAGAAACTGAGTGTTGGCTGAACTCTGCTGGGCATCAGGGGAAGGAGGCTCAGGAATTGGACACTGCTTTCACCACATGGTGTCTCCATCTTTCTCCTCATTTTTAAACTTTTGTTTTTCCCTACTTTGTCTTCCTTCTCCTTTTTCTTTCATTTTCTTTTATTTTCCCAGCTGAACATGTATTTCTGTCTCCTGTCTGCTCCTGCTAGGTGAGGAGTGTGACTCCAGGAGAAAAAAGACAGGGGCCTCTGGCACACATGACGAATGCTAAAATCTGCTGCCAGCTGTATTAATGAGGGTTAACAATGCGCCAGGCATGATATGCTATACGATGTATAACAATGAACAAGATATAGTGTTTACCCCCAGAAGGCTTATAGTTTCCACAAAACCATAGGAGAGATATGACAGGATAGGATATATACAAAGAAAAACACATGGAACAGATACGTGGTAACAAAGAACACAGAAGAGAAGCATAGTGTGATGATGTTTTATGTGTAAACCTGGCTAAACTATTGTGCCCAGTTGTTGGGTCAAACACTAGTCTAGATGTTGCTGTGAAGGTATTTGCAGATGTGATTAACATTTATGGAATGTTAAGGAAAGCAGAGTACCTTTTATAACATGAATAGGACTCACCCAATCAGCTGAAGCTATTATAAAGACTGAGGTTTCCTGAGGAAGAAGGAATTCTGTCTGAAGACCACAGCATAAAAATCCTGCCTGAGTCACTTGTCTGACGGCCTGCCCTGTGCATTTAGAATTTGAGACTGCAATATCAAGGCTTACCTGAATTTCCAGGCTGCCAACCTGCCCTACAGATTTCAGACTTGCAAGCCCCTGCAATAGCCAAAGCCCAAAATAGCTCTGTCTCCATCTCTCTCTCTCTCCACTTACATATAAAATCTCCTATTGGTTTTGTGGAGAGTCCGATGATACACTAGTAAATAAGAGTAAGGTCGACCGGGTGTAGTGGCTCACACCTGTAATTCCAACACTTTGGGAGGCCGAGGAGGGCAGATCACTTGAGGTCAGGAGTTCAAGACTAGCCTGGCCAACATGGTGAAACACTGTCTCTTCTAAAAATATAAAAATTAGCCAGGCGTGGTGGTGCACACCTGTAATCCCAGCTACTCGGGAGGCTGAGGTGGGAGAACTGCTTGGGCCAGGGAGGCAGAGGTTGCAGTGAGCAGAGATTGAGTCACTGCAGCCTAGCCTGGGTGACAGAGCAAGACTCCATCTCAAAAAAAAAAAAAAAAAAAAAATTAAAAAGAAAAAGACGTCAATTATCCTGCACATTTCAGAAGTTCAATGATCAGCAGCAGTTCTCCTCATTCCTTGAAACCAGACACACTCTGTCTCCAATTCCTGAGAGTATCATGCAACTTACCTGATATTCCCTCACTTTCCATAAGCCAGTGGAAAGTCACTGGGTTTAGTCTGCTAAATTTGATAAATTCTTCTAACATTACATACGTAACAGTTAATTCTATTATTTTCACCTACTTTTCTAACCCTCAGTTTTTTATTTCTCAAAAGTATCTACAATGACTCGATGTGAGGCTGATCAACATCATCACGAGTCTATAAAATCTTTCTGCTTCCAAGAAAAGTCTCTGTCAACTTACACACCAGACTGCTTTCCTTTCCTAGCAATCAAGTATTTTCACTTAGATATTATGTATAGTCTCAAGTTTTATATGTTTCATCATCTGAAAAGGTCTATTTTAAATTCTAAATGTTTGCTAATTTCTGGTTAAGGTTGTCATGGAGTTTTCTCCTTCTTCATCTAAATCATCTGGCAGTGAAGTTATTGCCTTAAATCACCATATCTAGCTAACAGTATAGTGCTGGTATAAGTCATCTCTTACTTAGAAAAAAAAAAACGTGTTAAAAATGTTAACTGCAAAGCACAAAGTGGTAATGTCATACTGCCCCTCTATTTTGGTGCACGATAAACACAAAACAGCAGGTGTTGATTTTCTCTGATATTCGAGATTGACAGCTTGTCTCTTTCTTACTCCACTGACCCCCATTATGTTTAATCTACATTCATCCATGACACATTGCAACCTGCTGATTTTATATGATTTTATAGCCACTCTGTATGTAAATAAAATGAGTACAAAATACAAAACCCCAATAGTATAATTTCTGCCTTCCTATAAAATCAACCTGCTCAACTGAATGCACCTCTATCGGAACATAGGTGAAATCCTACAGCTAGCTCTCAGGTGTGCTTGCATGAAGGAGAACTCAAAGGTCATAGTAACTGTAGAGTCTATTTCATATAAAACATCAGAGCACTCCAACTACTATAAATCAAAAGATTCCCAAATGGAATGCGGTATAGAATAGTTCTGGCAAGTTTATATAGACAACTCTGTGGTTGAAAGCTTTCCTCTCTCCCGTGAAACATAATATAAATTACTTAAGAAGACATTTGTAAGGAAACAAAATCCAGCTATTATTTTAAAAAAATTATTTAGTACCATTTCAAATATAAATGTTCTCTTTAATAATTTAATTGACACATGTCTTATTAAAACATGCAATTGTCAGTCATATACAACATGCAGCATGCAGTAAATGGACAGCAGAGGTTAATAACCTGGAAGCATAGGATCTGAGAATGTGAGAGCAAGTTAAAGACAAGAGTTCCTCTCCATTGTCACTGAGGGTCGAGAAGCAATGCTGAAGCGTAGAACAGTGAGAGTGGGGGAAATACAGTTTGTCCAACACATAAACATATCTCCGCAAGTGGCGGCAGGTATAACTGAAAGACAAAGGTAAAAGGAGAGAAACAGAAAGAGAGGAGTTTTCCTTTGAAAAAATAAATCATTTTTTATGTCCTCAAAGCTTTCTGTGTATCTTCACTAGATGGTGCCCAAGAAAAAAAAAAACTGTCAGAATAAAAAGTTAAAAAAGAAAATGAACAATCAGAATAAAAAATGGGCAAAAGATCTAAACAGACACTTCATCAGAGAAGATATACAGATGGCAAATAAGCATATGAAGAGATGTTTAACATCATACATCACTAGGAAAATGCAAATTCAAACAATGAGACACCACCACAGACTATTTGAATGGCCCAAATCCAGAGCATGGATTACACCAAATGCAGGCGAGGATGTGGAGCAACAGGAACTCTCATTCACTGCTGGTGGAAATGCACAATGGTAAAGCTACTTTGGAATGCAGTTCGGCAGTTTCTTATAAAACTAAATATACTCTTACCATACAATCCAGAAATTGTGCTCTTTAGAATTTATCCAAAAGAGTTGAAAACTTATATCCACACAAAAATCTGCACACAGGTGTTTATGGCAGCTTTATTCATAACTGCCCAAACTTGAAAGCAACCAAGGTATTCTTTAGTAGATGAATAAATAAATAAACGGTGGTACATCTAGACGATGGATTATTATTTAGGGCTAAAAAAATGAGCTATGAAGTCATGAAAAGACATGGAGGAACCTAAATTACTAAGTGAAAGCCACCAATCTGCAAAGGCTACATATTGTGTGATTCCATTTATATGACATTCTGGAAAAGGAAAAACTATGGAGACAGCAAAAAGATTAGGGGTTGCCAGGAGTTAGAGGGGAGAGAGGGATGAATATACAAAGCATAGAGGATTTTTAGGACAGTGAAGCTACTGTATTACTACTATAATGGTGGATACATACATTTGTCAAAAACCAAAGAATATACAACACCAAGAGTGAACCCTAATGTAAACTATGTAGTTTGGATGATTATGTGTCAATGCAGTTTCATCAACTATAACAAATACGTCACTCTGGCACAGGATGTTGATAGTGGGGGAGGTTGGAGGCCAGGGGATATATGGCAACTCTATACTTTCTGATCACTTTTGCTGTGAACCTAAAACTGCTCTTTAAAAAGTCTATTTAGGGGAGAAAAGGCATACTCACTGGGAGAAAAGTCTCAAAATATGAGGCTGTCATTAGTGAACCACATAAAATACGCCTTGGTAGAACAAAGTGATACAAAATACTTTTTCTTCACGGTATTAGGAATATGTTCCTGGCAAGTAGGCAATAATACTACTACAATATGGAAGAGATTATGGTAGAGAGAACACTGAATTAGGAGTCAGAAAACTTAGAAATCCTTTGGAAAAGTGCTTGCAAAAATAAAATTTTTTAAAGAAAGACAAAACTTAGAAATCTAAATCCTGCTCACCCATTGGCAGCTTTATAATAGTGGGTGTATGATCTCTCTAAGCCTCAAACCCATAAGCGAACAACATAGTAAAAAATTTTAAACCGCTCCAAGATTTTAAAGTGATATTACAAAAAATAAAGTAATAAGAGGACCAATAAGAATTATTACTATTATTGTCAGAGTAATTTCACTGACGCCACATTTCAGGCCATTTAAAAATAGCAAGCTAGAGAGAAGAGAATGTAAAATCAATCTGACAAGGTGAATCAACACAATAGTGAACATATCTGATATGTCTTGGCTATTATTAGTCCTTGAGAATCATGTCTGAAGAACTACATCAAAACTATATCAAAGTATTAATACCAAGAGGGTGATAGGTAATTTTTAAAGTATGTTGAACTCAAAACTAGTAAGTTAGAAGATTTGAAATGGGCAAATTTCCACAAACGAACAATCCATTCATCCATTCAACCACCAGCCTATCAAACAACCAATCAGTCAAGCAGTAACTACTATCTACTGCATGTGGGAATAGTGCTGGGCATTGAAGACAGGGTGGGGAATGATGTACACACAATCTCTACCCTTAGGGAGCTTACAACCTAGAGCAGGAGACAGATTATTAGACAAAACAAAATTCCTCTGAAATAGAGAAAGTCTTAAGAAGCTGTTAATCTCCAAAACAGAGTAGTTAAAAATCTTTTAAAGTAGGCTTATATTTAAAGAGATATTTCTATTGAGTCTTGGAAAGGATTCTAGGACTCCATCTACCAAAAGAGAGCAAAAACTTAAAATACAAGAAACATATTCTTGAAAAATGTGTATCACCAGCACTTTAAACAAGGGATCACAGTTAACATTAACATCAGTAATGGAACAAGTAGATGTCATGTGGCTCCTGATATGATCACAGCATAGCCAAAATCTAATTCCCAAAAAATCAAGCAAACCAAAATTGAGGGACATTCTACAAATAAACAAAAAACTGTTCTGTATTCTCCAAATTTTAAAGGCCATAAAAGACAAAGAAAGACTGAGGGACCATTCCAGATTAAAAAAGATGAAAGAAGACAACTATATGTAACATGATTTTGGTATTAGATTCCTGACTTGGAGGAGAAAAAAGGCATTTTTTACTTAAAATAGTTTTTATCAATGTTAATTTCCTGATTTTGAAAAATATCCTTATTTTTAAGAAATACACCATGTAGTACTTAGCAATGGGACATCATGTCTGTAAACTTATTCTCAACCATTTCAAAAAAAAGAGACAAACACAATAGTAAAGCAAATGTGGTAAAATTTTAACATTTGGGAATGTGAGTTAAAGGTAAATGAAAATTATTTGCACTATTTTTGGTAAAACTAATTTTTTTTTTTTGAGACAGTCTCATTCTGTCACCCAGGCTGGAGTACAGTGCCACAATCATAGCTCACTGCAGCCTAAACTACCTAGGCAAGTGATCCTCTTACCTCAGCCTCCCAAATAGCTGGAACCACAAGTGTGTGCCACCACACTCAGCTAATTTTTAAAATTTTTACTAGAGGCAGGGTCTCACTATATTGCCCAGTCTGGTCTTAAATTCTTGGGCTCAAGTGATCCATCCACCCTGGCCTTCCAAAGTGTTGAGATTACAGAAATAAGCCACCATGTCCGGCCTAATTTATTTTTAATCTGAAAAAAAAAATAGAACTGATCTTTTTGATAAACTGAATAATATCCATTTTAAGATTATGAGATTCAAACCTAGAGCCCTAAAATGTCATTCTGACCTCTATACTTACAGCTTGGGACATCAGAAAAACAAGATCATGGGAAGGAGGCAAATGTGGTCTGGAGCTAGCCCATAAAAAACAGTCACTGTTACTTAAGAATTACTTTCACAAAAATAAAATTTCCTTAGTGCCTTCTTACAAGAAAATGTCCAAGATTGTGCAATGTATAGTTCTGAAATGTTATTTGATATGGTTATGCTTCACTAAAATAAAGTACAACAATATTCTGTCCTAGAACAACATTCAAGTCTGTAAAAGATGACAAAAACCACAAGCAAAAGAGTAATGCTTAAAAAAGATTCCAAGGTGAAGTTTTCTAATAATGTATTTTTCAGTACTTTAATAATAAAATTATAACACATTTCCATAGGAACTTTTTCTAACTTTTTTTTTTTTTTTTTGGAGATGGAGTTTTGCCCTGTTGCCTAGACTGGAGTGCAATGGCATGATCTCGGCTCACTGCAACCTCCGCCTCCCGGGTTCAAGCAATTCTACCGGGTTCAAGCAATTCTCCTGTCTCAGCCTCCTGAATAGCTGGGACTACAGGCGCATGCCACCATGCCCAGCTAACTTTTGTATTTTTAGTAGAGATGGGGTTTCCCCATATTGGTCAAGCTGGTCTTGAAATCCTGACCTCAGGCAATCCACCCACTTCAGCCTCCCAAAGTGATGGGATTACAGGCACGAGCCACAGTGCCTAGCCAATTTATTTTCTTAATTATCTATATGCTTAAAGAACTTAAAAAAATGAGATTACCAGAGGCAAGTTAACCTTTACCTAGACTGATAAAAATATTCTGTATATCCTTTTCCAATGTCCCTTCTTCTTCCCTCCTCTCCTTCCTTTGAGAAAGCTCATTAGTAGACCCATTAGTAGATTAAAAAATACCAAGAAATTAAATTAATAATACATGTTTATGGCCTATATAAAGAAAATTACCAAAATTTACTATTTGGCATAAAAGAAATCTTGAATAAATGAAGAAATACTAACTAGCATGATTTTGGAAGGGAAGACAAAATATTAAGAATGCAATTATCCTTCACAGATTCAAAATCTCAACAGTGGTATTTGATTTTGACAACATTACTCTTATAGTAGTTCCTAAATTTTTTTAGGTGGCCATTTTAAAAGCCAACAAAAGACACGGATTCCCTTACAGAAAAATGTACCAACACGAAATGCTTGGGATTCAGTGGTACAAAAAGATACATGGATTCTGCTCTCATAGAACCAGGGTTCCCATCCCCCATTCTGAAGCCTGTTAGGAACTGGGCTACATAGCAGTAGGTGAGTGGCAGTTGAATGAGCAAAGCTTCATCTGTATTCAGAGCCACTCCCCACTGCTTGCATTACCACCTGAGCTCCGCCTCCTGTCAGATCAGTGGTGGCATTAGATTCTCATAGGAAGACGAACCCTATTATGAACTGCACATGCGAGGAATTGAGGTTGTATGCTCCTCATGAGAATCTAATGCCTGATGATCTGATCTGAAGTGGAACGGTTTCATCCCAAAACCATCCCCTGTTCTGCCCCTGTCCGTGGAAAAACTGACTTCCACAAAACTGGTCCTTGGTGCAACAAAGGTTGAGGACTGCTGTCACAGAATATACATTTAAATAGAGGGAGATTCAGAATCAATGAGTAAAAAAAAAAAAAAAGATAAATTTGTTAAGCAAATAAATATGATAAAGGTGGAAGAGGGGCTGAAGGGGCTAATTGTTAATTTTGGTGGTTATGAACAATTTCACTGATGGTATGATATTTGACATGAGAAACAAATACCCAGCAGAACTACAACCTCAACTTCTCAAGCATTTGACATTATGAGCTAATTACATTAGCATAACTGAATAAAATATTTCGCATTTCCACTGAAAGGGATGATACTAATAAACTTGTAATGGGGCTTAGATGTGAATAAGATGATGATTCATTTTAGTGGATGGGTCTAGACAGTGAGGATTCCTGAAATGGGCACTGTGATCTCAGAATCACAGGGCTGGGAGAGCCCAGGAGGTCATCATGTGCAAGATCTATCCACAGAAGAATATCTAACATCCCTTGTGAGATGTTCGCACTGCTCTTACTATACATCTTTAAGGGAAAAAGAACTCTCTAGTTTGACAAATAGCCTCATTCCACAGATATGTAAATTCTAACAATTAGAAAACTTCTCCTTATAATAAGCTAAATCCATTTGTTCTGTAACTTCTACCCAGTAATGAAACATGGAATTCAGTACACAAAGTCTAACTTATTTCCTTACACTACAGTCTTTAAATAGATGAGGAAATTGTGAATTTCTTCATCTTTTCTTCTCTGATTGATATTAAAATCTGTTCATCTCTCATGGGCTATGGTTTTCAGATTCCTCGTCAGTCTTATTACTCTCCTTTGGATACTCAAACTGCTTAATAAGCTTCTTAGCAACACACTCAGTGGAGGGAGAAGTACTTTCTCACTGGTAGTATTGAGAATTGCTGGTGCATGGTGAGAATAAAAACCCAGACAAAATCTTGTTAGTTTTATTATAGTTTTGAAATTCTTTACAGACATAGACAATATATCCCCTTATTGCCATCCAGATCCAGGATAAACCACTCGTATCATCCCACCCTTGATACTGGGCTGGCCATTCCTAAAATATGGCAAAAAGAAGTAAACAGATTATTCTAGATGTGTCATGTTTTGGGCAGTGTTGAAAAGATTATACTCTATTAATGCTGCTTAAAATTATACATACTCAAAAACTAAAGTTGAACTAAAAAGAAAAACAAATTCCCTCAAACTGAAAACTAAAACAAATTTAATTGCATCTCAAGTGGTAATGAAACTACACAAAGAAGCTGGCAGCCAAGATGGCCGAATAGGAACAGCTCCGGTCTACAGCTCCCAGAGTAAGCAATGCAGAAGACGGGTGATTTCTGCATTTCCATCTGAGGTACTGGGTTCATCTCACTAGGGAGTGCCAGACAGTGGGTGCAGGACAGTGGGTGCAGCGCACCGTGCGGGAGCCGAAGCAGGGCGAGGCATTGCCTCACTCGGGAAGCGCAAGGGGTCAGGGAGTTCCCTTTCCTAGTCAAAGAAAGGGGTGACAGATGGCACCTGGAAAATCGGGTCAATCTCACCCTAATACTGCGCTTTTCCGATGGGCTTAAAAAACGGTGCACCACGAGATTATATCCCGCACCTGGCTCGGAGGGTCCTACACCCACGGAGTCTCACTGACTGCTAGCACAGCAGTCTGAGATCAAACTGCAAGGTGGCAGCGAGGCTGGGGGAGGGGCGCCCGCCATTGCCCAGGCTTTCTTAGGTAAATAAAGCAGCCGGGAAGCTCGAACTGGGTAGAGCCCACCACAACTCAAGGAGGCCTGCCTGCCTTTGTAGGCTCCACCTCTGGGGGCAAGGCACAGACAAACAAAAAGACAGCAGTAACCTCTGCAGACTTAAATGTCCCTGTTTGACAGCTTTGAAGAGAGTAGTGGTTCTCCAAGCACACAGCTGGAGATCTGAGAATGGGCAGACTGCTTCCTTAAGTGGGTCCCTGACCCCTGACCCCCGAGCAGCCTAACTGGGAGGCACCCCCCAGTAGGGGCAGACTGACATCTCACACGGCCGGGTACTCCTTTCAGACAAAACTTCCAGAGGAACGATCAGACAGCAGCATTCGTGGTTCATGAAAATCCGCAGTTCTGAAGCTACCGCTGCTGATACCCAGGCAAACAGGGTCTGGAGTGGACCTCTAGCAAACTCCAACAGACCTGCAGCTGAGGGTCCTGTCTGTTAGAAGGAAAACTAACAAACAGAAAGGACATCCACACCAAAAACCCATCTGTACATCACCATCATCAAAGACCAAAAGTAGATAAAACCACAAAGATGGGGAAAAAACAGAGCAAAAAAACTGGAAACTCTAAAAAGCAGAGTGCCTCTCCTCCTCCAAAGGAACGCAGTTCCTCACCAGCAATGGAACAAAGCTGGACGGAGAATGACTTTGACGAGTGGAGAGAAGAAGACTTCAGACAATCAAAGTACTCCGAGCTACAGGAGGAAATTCAAACCGAAGGCAAAGAAGTTAAATACTTCGAAAAAAATTTAGACGAATGTATAACTAGAATAATCAATAGAGAGAAGTGCTTAAAGGAGCTGATGGAGCTGAAAGCCAAGGATCGAGAACTACATGAAGAATGCAGAAGCCTCAGGAGCCAATGCGATCAACTGGAAGAAAGGGTATCAGTGATGCAAGATGAAATGAATGAAATGAAGTGAGAAGGGAAGTTTAGAGAAAAAAGAATAAAAAGAAACGAACAAAGCCTTCAAGAAATATGGGACTATGTGAAAAGACCAAATCTACGTCTGAT
The DNA here is from genome assembly GCF_000001405.40 of Homo sapiens. Classification (NCBI taxonomy): domain Eukaryota; kingdom Metazoa; phylum Chordata; class Mammalia; order Primates; family Hominidae; genus Homo; species Homo sapiens. The sequence continues at coordinate 49,217,279 of NC_000018.10, forward strand.
TGGTGTACCTGAAAGTGACGGGGAGGATGGAACCAAGTTGGAAAACACTCTGCAGGATATTATCCAGGAGAACTTCCCCAATCTAGCAAGGCAGGCCAACGTTCAGATTCAGGAAATACAGAGAACGCCACAAAGATACTCCTCGAGAAGAGCAACTCCAAGACACATAATTGTCAGATTCACCAAAGTTGAAATGAAGGAAAAAATGTTAAGGGCAGCCAGAGAGAAAGGCCGGGTTACCCACAAAGGGAAGCCCATCAGACTAACAGCGGATCTCTCGGCAGAAACTCCACAAGCCAGAAGAGAGTGGGGGACAATAGTCAACATTCTTAAAGAAAAGAATTTTCAACCCAGAATTTCATATCCAGCCAAACTAAGCTTCATAAGTGAAGGAGAAATAAAATCCTTTACAGACAAGCAAATGCTGAGAGATTTTCTCACCACCAGGCCTGCCCTAAAAGAGCTCCTGAAGGAAGCACTAAACATGGAAAGGAACAAACCGTACCACCCACTGCAAAAACATGCCAAATTGTAAAGACCGTCGAGGCTGGGAAGAACCTGCATCAACTAACGAGCAAGATAACCAGCTAACATCATAACCACAGGATCAAATTCACACATAACAATATTAACTTTAAATGTAAATGGACTAAATGCTCCAATTAAAAGACACAGACTGGCAAATTGGATAAACGGTCAAGACCCATCAGTGTGCTGTATTCAGGAAACCCATCTCACGTGCAGAGACACAAATAGGCTCAAAATAAAAGGATGGAGGAAGATCTACCAAGCAAATGGAAAACAAAAAAAGGCAGGGGTTGCAATCCTAGTGTCTGATAAAACAGACTTTAAACCAACAAAGGTCAAAAGAGAGAAAGAAGGCCATTACATAATGGTAAAGGGATCAATTCAACAAGAAGAGCTAACTATCCTAAATATATATGCACCCAATACAGGAGCACCCAGATTCATAAAGCAAGTCCTGAGGGACCTACAAAGAGACTTAGACTCCCACACAATAATAATGGGAGACTTTAACACCCCACTGTCAACATTAGACAGATCAACGAAACAGAAAGTTAACAAGGATATCCAGGAATTGAACTCAGCTCTGCACCAAGCGGACCTAATAGACATCTACAGAACTCTGCACCCCAAATCAACAGAATATACATTTTTTTCAGCACCACACCACACCTATTCCAAAATTGACCACATAGTTGGAAGTAGAGCTCTCCTCAGCAAATGTAAAAGAACAGAAATTATAACAAACTGTCTCTCAGACCACAGTGCAATGAAACTAGAACTCAGGATTAAGAAACTCACTCAAAACCACTCAACTACATGGAAACTGAACAACCTGCTCCTGAATGACTACTGGGTATATAATGAAATGAAGGCAGAAAAAAAGATGTTCTTTGAAACCAATGAGAACAAAGACACAACATACCAGAATCTCTGGGACACATTCAAAGCAGTGTGTAGAGGGAAATTTATAGCACTAAATGCCCACAAGAGAAAGCAGGACAGATCCAAAATTGACACCCTAACATCACAATTAAAAGAACTAGAGAAGCAAGAGCAAACACATTCAAAAGCTAGCAGAAGGCAAGAAATAACTAAAATCAGAGCAGAACTGAAGGAAATAGAGACACAAAAAACCCTTCAAAAAATTAATGAATTCAGGAGCTGGTTTTTTGAAAGGATCAACAAAATTGATAGACCGCTAGCAAGACTAATAAAGACGAAAACAGAGAAGAATCAAATAGATGCAATAAAAAATGATAAAGGGAACATCACCACCGATCCCACAGAAATACAAACTACCATCAGAGAATACTACAAACACCTCTACGCAAATAAACTAGAAAATCTAGAAGAAATGGATAAATTCCTCGACACATACACCCTCCCAAGACTAAACCAGGAAGAAGCTGAATCTCTGAATAGACCAATAACAGGATCTGAAATTGTGGCAATAATCAATAGCTTACCAACCAAAAAGAGTCCAGGACCAGATGGATTCACAGCCAAATTCTACCAGAGGTACAAGGAGGAACTGGTACCATTCCTTCAGAAACTATTCCAATCAATAGAAAAAGAGGGAACCCTCCCTAACTCATTTTATGAGGCCAGCATCATCCTGATACCAAAGCCTGGCAGAGACACAACCAAAAAAGAGAATTTTAGACCAATATCCTTGATGAACATTGATGCAAAAATCCTCAATAAAATACTGGCAAACTGAATCCAGCAGCACATCAAAAAGCTTATCCACCATGATCAAGTGGGCTTCATCCCTAGGATGCAAGGCTGGTTCAATATATGCAAATCAATAAATGTAATCCAGCATATAAACAGAGCCAAAGACAAAAACCACATGATTATCTCAATAGATGCAGAAAAGGCCTTTGACAAAATTTAACAACACTTCATGCTAAAAACTCTCAATAAATTAGGTATTGATGGGACGTATCTCAAAATAATAAGAGCTATCTATGACAAACCCACAGCCAATATCATACTGAATGGGCAAAAACTGGAAGCATTTCCTTTGAAAACTGCCACAAGACAGGGATGCCCTCTCTCACCACTCCTATTCAACATAGTGTTGGAAGTTCTGGCCAGGGCAATTAGGCAGAAGGAAATAAAGGGTATTCAATTAGAAAAAGAGGAAGTCAAATTGTCCCTGTTTGCAGATGACATGATTGTATATCTAGAAAACCCCATTGTCTCAGCCCAAAATCTCCTTAAGCTGATAAGCAACTTCAGCAAAGTCCCAGGATACAAAATCAATGTACAAAAATCACAAGCTTTCTTATACACCAATAACAGACAAACAGAGAGCCAAATCATGAGTGAACTCCCATTCACAATTGCTTCAAAGAGAATAAAATATCTAGGAATCCAACTTACAAGGGACATGAAGGACCTCTTCAAGGAGAACTACAAACCACTGCTCAATGAAATAAAAGAGGATACAAACAAATGGAAGAACATTCCATGCTCATGGGTAGGAAGAATCAATATCGTGAAAATGGCCATACTGCCCAAGGTAATTTACAGATTCAATGCCATCCCCATCAAGCTACCAATGACTTTCTTCACAGAATTGGAAAAAACTACTTTAAAGTTCATATGGAACCAAAAAAGAGCCCACATTGCCAAGTCAATCCTAAGCCAAAAGAACAAAGCTGGAGGCATCACGCTACCTGACTTCAAACTATACTACAAGGCTACAGTAACCAAAACAGCATGGTACTGGTACCAAAACAGAGATATAGATCAATGGAACAGAACAGAGCCCTCAGAAATAATGCCGCATATCTACAACTATCTGATCGTTGACAAACCTGAGAAAAACAATCAATGGGGAAAGGATTCCCTATTTAATAAATGGTGCTGGGAAAACTGGCTAGCCATATGGAGAAAGCTGAAACTGGATCTCTTCCTTACATCTTATACAAAAATTAATTCAAGATGGATTAAAGACTTAAACGTTTGACCTAAAACCATAAAAACCCTAGAAGAAAACCTAGGCAATACCATTCAGGACATAGGCATGGGCAAGGACTTCATGTCTAAAACACCAAAAGCAATGGCAACAAAAGCCAAAGTTGACAAATGGGATCTAATTCAACTAAAGAGCTTCTGCACAGCAAAAGAAACTACCATCAGAGTGAACAGGCAACCTAGAGAATGGGAGAAAATTTTCGCAACCTACTCATCTGACAAAGGGCTAATATCCGGAATCTACAAAGAACTCAAACAAATTTACAAGAAAAAAACAAACAACCCCATCAAAAAGTGGGTGAAGAACATGAACAGACACTTCTCAAAAGAAGACATTTATGCAGCCAAAAAACACATGAAAAAATGCTCACCATCACTGGCCATCAGAGAAATGCAAATCAAAACCACAATGAGATACCATCTCACACCAGTTAGAATGGCAATCATTCAAAAGTCAGGAAACAACAGGTGCTGGAGAGGATGTGGAGAAATAGGAACACTTTTACACTGTTGGTGGGAGTGTAAACTAGTTCAACCATTGTGGAAGTCGGTGTGGCGATTCCTCAGGGATCTAGAACTAGAAATACCATTTGACCCAGTCATCACATTACTGGGTATATACCCAAAGGATTATAAATCATGCTGCTATAAAGACACATGCACACGTATGTTTATTGCAGCACTATTCACAATAGCAAAGACTTGGAACCAAGCCAAATGTCCAACAATGATAGACTGGATTAAGAAAATGTGGCACATATACACCATGGAATACTATGCAGCCATAAAAGATGATGAGTTCATGTCCTTTGTAGGGACACGGATGAAACTGGAAATCATCATTCTCAGTAAACTATCACAAGGACAAAAAACCAAACACCGCATGTTCTCACTCATAGGTGGGAATTGAACAATGAGAACACATGGACACAGGAAGGGGAACATCACACTCTGGGGACTGTTGTGGGGTGGGGGAAGGAGGGAGGGATAGCATTAGGAGATATACCTAATGCTAAATGACGAGTTAATGGGTGGAGCACACCAGCATGGCACATGTATACATATGTAACTAAGCTGCACATTGTGCACATGTACCCTAAAACTTAAACTGTAATAATAATAAAATTTAAAAAAAAATTGAGAATCAGGCAGCAACCTTTATTTGGTCATTTGGATAAAAGTACTGTTATTTTATAAAAAAAAAAGAAAGAAAAAAGAAACTAGACAAAGTATTATTTTGAATAACTTTAAAATGTAGAAATGACATTATATACTCAGTGGGTTATATTCTAAGGACAAATAGAAACACACACAAAAAAATCCTAAACTTCATTCACTTACTTAAAATTAGTTATAATATTGTGAAACAACTATATACACATACACGGAACAGAATAAAGAGAAAAACATTATATTTATGTTATTCAAAAAAGCAAATCAGAATTTCTGTTAAATAATCTAAAATTTGAATTAGAACTAAGAGTATAATCTTTTTTCTTTACAAGAATTTATATCTTTTCAGCTTTGTCCATTGAAGAGACCTAAAAAAAATTACAGACTCCTCAATAATGAGCATCCTATCACCTACCAACAACGTTGTGGCTTCTAGGTCCGAGACAAGAAATGTATTTAATACAAATGAGTTTGAGACATCTTGTTGGCCTAAAAGCAAGGAAGGAAGCAAGGAAACTGTCAAAGATAAATGCAGTCCTGTCAAAAAGACATAAGAGGCAACATAAGGGATCTCCCAATGGCCAAAAATGAAACAATCAGAAACCAAAAAGAATAACTGCTCTGCGACTGATCAAAAACATACAATCTATATGGACAATATGAACAGAGGTTCATAATAAAATAAATAAACAAAAAATGAAAATGTATCAATTACTACTAGAGGTACCAAAGGCATGAAACTCTAGTTTTGAAAATTAAATATTAAAAGGAAGAAGTTAAGCATTACTCCCCTCTTTCCAACTATGATTACACAGTGGATAAAGGAAAATTCTTCTTTACAGAAAAACTCTATGTCACAAATATGCACATAATATGGTAACTAGAAATTTGCCGTTTGGCAATATATAATAAAACCGTTTAGTCAAATGAAAGTCACATGAAAGAATGATGGTGACATTTAGAATGAAAGGATTAGCTATCACCATCTGAACCTACCAATCAATCTTAGTATCTCCAGGATAACTAGACATTATGTATCTCCTGATATGATAGAATATGAAATAAACAGGAACACGTATTAAGTATTTTTGCCAAAAAATTCCATCTAAATGATCTATCATCTAGAGTTAATTTTCAGTTTACAATAGAAATTGATGAGAGGGAACAAATTGAAGGACACAGGAAGATGCAAACAAACAAATCTGAAATGTGAGATATTCTGTAAGACTGCTTACCTGTTGACCAACTAGTCAAAGATGTGAGTTGAATAGTTAAAAAAGAAAAGCAAGCAAGGGGTACTGCACAACTTTTTTCTTAAACTTAGGTCGGGTAGCAAATAGTTGCAGTCTGTGTTGTCTCACTTAAAATCACTTAACTCTGCAACTGATGTGAGAAAGCAGCCATAGGATGCACACAAATGGGCATGGCTGTGTTCTAACAAAACTTCATTTACAAAAACCTGCCTCTGCTCGACTGAAAAAAACTAAGACACATGACTAATCAAATGTGGTGTGGGATCCTGTATGAATCCTGATTTGAACTAATCAAAATAAACATATTTTTTTCAAAGATAATCAGGCATAATGTGAATATGGGTTTTGAATCAGCTAATATTAAGGGAAGTGTTGTTAATATTCTTGAGTGGACAAACTAAATAATCAAATTGATGTAAATGAGTAACAAAGTACTACAGATGAAACTTGAAATAGATGAGATTTTGCCTGAATAGATAGGTAAGGGAAAGTTTCCTCATAAAAGTAACGATTCAGCCAAGATCTGCAAGATGACTAAAGATAAGCAGGAAAATAATTACAAGCAAAGGAAAAAGGCAGACATAGGACTGAGACTGGAAGGAAACATGTCTCCTATGCAAAAGTAAAGGACAATGTGTAAGGAGCTGACCTTGGGGAAGAACAGAGGTAGGTAAAATCACCAAGGAATTATGCCTTCATTCTAGGAACAATGGGAAGTATCTGAAGAGTATATAGCAGAGGAGTCACAGGATGAGATCTGCATTTTGAAATGATTGGCTGGTTGGAGACTGATGAAGCAAGAGTTGACATCAGACCTGTTAAAGAGTTACTGCAGGAGAGTAGGCACTAAGGCGATGATAAAGGAGAATGAATGGATTTGAGGGGTGGTTGCTGACAAGACTTGGTAATGAATTGAATATGGCAGGTGACAGGGAGTGTCAAAATTGACTCTCAGGTTTCTGGCATGCATAAATGGTGGTGTCATTCAATGAGGCGGCAACAGAGGAAGAGGATCAAAAGACTCTGGGAAAGGGCAAGATTTCCATTTTCGACATGCTGAGTTTGAGATGTCTCTGATAAACCCAAAAGATGACATTAGTCATCTGATTGGACATGCAGGTCTGAAGCCAGAGGATAGGGCTAGCTAAATGTATGTTTGTGAGTCATCGGTGTAAGGATGGGAGTGGCTACAATCACCTAGGAAAAGAGTAGAGAGAGAAAAGAGAAGGGGTTGCTACAGTCTGAATGTTTGTGTCCCCCACAAATGTATATGTTGAAATCCTAGCCCCCAAGGTGATGGTATTAGGAGGTGGGGTCTTCGGGAAGGCATTAGGATTAGGTGAGGTCATGAGGGTACAGCCTTCATGTATGGGATTAGTGTCCTTACAAGAGTCCGAGAGAGCTTGCTTCCACTCTCCACCATGGGAAGACAAGAGAAAAAACTGCCCTCTTTGGGTCAGTAAGCAGGTCCTCACTAGACACCAAATCAGTCGGCGCCTTGATCTAGGACTTCCCAGATTCCAGATCTGTGGGAAGTAAATGTCTGTTGTTTATAAGCTACCCAGTATATGCTATTTTGTTATAGCAACCCGAACTAAGACAGGGTGACTTTGAGAAATGCCAACATTTAAAGTATCACAAGATCACTTCAAATCTAGATAAACTTTTACAGAATTTTGAAGAGTGGCCAAAAAAACCATAAAGAAGATGAGGAAACCAAGAAGAGGTTATCTTGATGAAGGAGTGGTTACCAGTGTCAAATACAACTGAAAGGACAAACGAGACAGAAAATGTCCACTGGATTTGGCAATATGGAGGTCACTGGTGACCAACAATTCTTTTCATTAGTAACATTAAAAATACCATTGATTAAAACATAATCTGAATGTAAGACTTCCTGAGATATCGTTAATCCCATTGATTAGCTCATTCACATGCATTAAATATGCATTAAGTTTCCAGGGGAAATTTTTGCAAACTAAAAATTTATAAAATAGCATGCGTGCACACACACAATTTTACACAGTATAAAACTTACATATCCAAGAAAATAAGCAAAGGAAAATCTGGAATGAATGTCAGGAAACTATACAACAGTGGTGCAAGCACAACCCTTGAATCATTTCATTCCTTGGCAGCAGAAGCCATTTTTCCTGGAGCTGAATCTACTGCCAGCAACGAACATCCTGGGAATCTCTAGTATGAAGGATTAACAGACTGGCTGAAACACTGGAAAATATATTGAAGGGAACAATCTAGTACTAGCTCAAAGGGGATGAAATGACCTAACATCCCACTGCCAGATTTATAAAATAATAGAGACTATAATAATAATAATGAACCTCTTTACAATATAACATAACAATATTAGCATCTTTTCTGTGAGTTGTTTTATTAATTGCCGAAGAAATTCAGAATAAGAAATTCCTACATCTGTAGTAAAATACAATTTTTAATCAATTAAAATGTATACCATCACTGGTACTTGAGATTTAATCATATTCTCTGCTGATTTCAAAACCTTCCAATAAGTGCTTTCATCCTAAATTAGCCACTCATTCTGGTATATAAGTGCATCAATAAAGATCTAAAACCTGAACATTTGTAGAAACATAAATAACAGCCAAATATCTTAAATAGCAATTTTATAATATCTTTGTCAAATTACTTGCTTTCTGATTTTAAAATATTGTAAATATTATTAGGTTCAGATATAAATTTGGCAATAGCTACAGGAAAAATCATATTATCTCTTAGGGACAAATTTTATTTCCAACAATATTTTTGAGAACTTTAACTTGTCTTTGAAGACTTGATCACAGTTTACAGAATCTCATTCTCTTCCACATAGAAAACAAAGTAAATGCACAGATTATCATATACCACCAAAGCAAAGGGGACAAGGCACCTGAAAATAGTTTTTAAAGGTTTTGTAAACAGTAAGTCATATGCACCAGGTATCTAAAATTCCGAGACTGAACAGATGAAAATGTACAGGGAACTCATTAAGTATACCACTGTCCCTTGTTTTACAGATGTACCATCTATATTTACAGGTGTAGATAAACAGATCAATTTATTACCAGCATTCCTTCCTACATGGTATGTGGATGAAAAACGTCTTCTGACTTCGGACAAAGCAACTATTTAAAAAGAATGTTGTCATGGCTCTCCACTACAGACATTTGCTCTGCAAATGCCCAATATGGCCATGCAGCAATGTGAAGCTGGCTTGGTTCCCAGCAATGCACAGTTTGCTATATGGCTTGAAGTTGTATTTCAATGTGTTAATAGCATGTTGCTGTCTACTCTACTTGTGGTCTAATAAGCAAGGTCTAAAACTCCACAAATGCAGACATTCATTTGAAATTTCCTTCTGGCACTTTCTTGTGATGAATATAGAGTTAGGGTGAAGGGAACTCTAATGGAGATTTCATAAGAACAAAATTTACTTGAAAATAATTTATTGATTAGATTTGTTTACAACTTACATTTTGAAAGAAGCATTTCAATGTCATTATGTTCCTCTTTGTACCAAAGGAAATGGTGGATGGACAGAGCACACATTAAAACTATGACTCCCACAGATGCCAAATTGGTTCCAGTGGGAATGCAGTTGACTAAAGGAAAAAAAGACCTAAAGCACATGCTCATTACAAAAATAGCCATCAAAGACATATAATTCAGCCTGAAAATATTACAATTTACCTTTTAATGTCATCCAGAGAAATTAAGATACTTGTTTTAAAAAAATCTAGACTTTGGGGGACATGAATGATGACTATATGCTAAAATCAAAACTGTTCTTCAGTCCACACCCATCTGTCTGCACTGAATAATCTGAGGCATAAACACTAAGAATGTAATGGAAAAATTGAGTTCACAAATAAACAGGTATAAAATAGCACATTCAGCACATTTTATGATCATCAAAAAGCTTGCTCATTTTTAAAGTCATTATTTTGTACAAACTGCCTCTTGGCAAAACGATTTATAGCCATTATAAAATTCTTCCTAAAAAACTGAGCTCTAAGTTATGATTCTTCAACATCCATGCCACAAATATTAGATCAGTGAAGTTAGATAATCTGGAGCCATGAAATAAGGCCAATTCTGCTGAGAGTGATTAAATATTTATGTCATATCCTTTCTATAGCAGAGCAGTAAAAATACACACAAGATAAAATGCTACATAACGGTAAGAGTTTAAAGTCTATTGGAGTCATTAAAATAAGAACAAGTTTTCATATATATACACAGAAATTATGCCATTAAGTCATTATCAGAAGACCATCTCAGAGTCATTTTTCAGTTGTGGTCATGGATATACACGGAAACATCCACAGTCTCTCACCCTTGTACTCAGAAGGGTGTGGTGATACACACTAAACCCACATCTGTGAGCTGGCAGGTGAGGATTGTGGGAGCTGTCTGTCACAGGAATGTAGTCATCAGAAATTGAAGCTTGCTGAGGTGGATGGGTGGAGATGAAAAGACTGATCTTGGTCTCACCAGTCCAATGTTCTAACCACTCTAATTGAAGTATCAGCCTGACTGCCATAGTGACTGAGGCATATACCTCAGCATCTTCTCCAAGCAAAAAAGACAAGCTATGCAGTCTTTTGCCTCTGGTCTTTGCACCTGCTGCTGACTATCTGGAGATACTTCTTCAATCTCCGTATCCTCTGGAAAACTCCTACTCTTCACTAAGTGTGACTCTTCTATGAGGCCCTCCCCGATTGCTACATGCACATTTTGGTGCTCTCCCTTCTAGGTTCCCACTGTGCCTTATGCTTCCTACCAACATGCAACTTCACAAAATGAATTTGTAAATGGCTTTATTGTCTATCTCCCCTCTCAATAATCATAGAATCTTTGAGGGCAGATGTTGAGTTTTTATTTTAGTTTCTCTATACCCACTATAGTGCTTGGCATAAGAAACCACCATATTTATTAACTGGAGTAAATGGACAAAAACTAATGTTCCATATTCAATGATCCACAAGTCATCTTATGTATGGGAGTTCTATGCATCATCATTACCTTTATATTAGACTGACAAGCACAATTTAGGCTGGGCTGGGATTCAGAGTCATAACCATAAACATAAAATTACTTCCTTCCTTAGGAGTAAGCAAAGGCCTATAAATCACTGGCAACAGGAACTTACACAATAATTCCCAAGGTCTTAACTGCTCATTTCTTAAAATCTTAAGAAAACCCCACAATTTGGACATTTTGCAGACGGAAGTGAGAAAAATTCAATCATTATAATCATCCCTGGTCCCCAGCCAAAAGGAAAGCTTTCTATTTTCTTCCAGCAGAATAGAGAACTAGAATAACATGATTAATCTCACAGTTGGCCAAACTGAAATAGTTCTGAAGACTTTATAGTTATCACTTTATTCATTCTATGAATTATTTCAGATTATTTTAAATCAAAATCCGCAATACTTCTACCAACCTCTAGAACTAGGGTCCCTTATGAAGGCTACCTATCCTTTTTCAGGTAAAAGTTGTAACTGTTGGATATAGGAAATGGGTGAGGTGCAATGAAAGAGATCATGATGGGGGTTGGGAGGAAGTTTACTGTGGATAGGAAGACAAGCTAAAGTGCATTTTTGGTGGCCATTCCTAGAAGGTGAAAACTGGGTCCAAAGAAGACCTAAATTCTGATGAAAAGGACACAGGTTCTTATTTATCTCACATCTGAATAAACAGTTATTAGTTATTCAACTGTTCCCTTTATCTCTATTTTGTACATAATTTTTAAGAAAATTAACCAATGGTTACTCATCAGTTTATAATCTAGTTGAAGATGTAAAGTATACACATACTTACTAAAAGTTAAACACGAAAACAAGACATAAAATGATTCTATATTATTTATTATTTGACAAATAATAAAACTAATTTTAGATTTATTAACCTAATAATCTAATAATTCCAAATTACTTGACAAATAATAAATCTATTAGACAAAATAATAAATCTATAACAATAAGAGGTATAAGAACAGGGACAAAATAAAGTACTGTGGTCTATAAACAAGTATCAGGGGAAAAATGATAAATGGGAATTATAGATTATTTGAAATGTTGAGAAAAAACAAGCCACAGCCTGGAAGAAATAAATGTTTGCAAAACAACATACTTGCAAAGTACTTGTATCCAAAATAATATATAAAGAAAACTCAAACACTCAAAACTCAAAAACCCAAACAACCCAATATTAAAAAGGATAAAGATCTAAATAGACATTTCACCAAAGAAGATACATGGATGGCAAAAGAACACATGAAAAGATGCTCAACATTATTTGTCATTAGGGAAATGCAAATTAAAACCATGAGTGAGCACCACAGAACTATTAAAATGGCTTTTACAAAAAGCAAACACTAATTTCTGGTGAAGATGTGGAGCAACTAGAACTGTCATATATTGTTGGCAAGAATGCAAAATGGTATGGCCACTTTGGAAAATACTTTGACACCTTCTTATAAAGTTAAACATACAATTACATATGCCCAAGAAACTCTACTCCTAGGTATTTACCCAAGAGAAATGAAAATGTTAGGTTCCCACAAAATTCTCTACACAAATATTTATGGCAGCTTCATACATAATTGCCCCAAAATGAAAACATCCAAATGTCCTTCAATCAGTGAATGGATAAACTGTGGTATCCATAGAATAAAATACTTGCTCAGTAATAAAAACGAATGATACACACAAGAACATGGATAAATCTCCAGTCTCAAAAGACTAAATACCATATGATAAGATTTATGACAAAGTGGCAAAGGAAAACTAAATAACAGAAGGGGGCTTGGGTAGTAAGAATGGTTTGACTACAGAGCAGCACAGCGGAATCTTTAGGGAGATGAACATATTATCTTCACTATGGTGGTAAATACATGACTATATGTGTTTGTCAACTCAAAGAACTATTTACTAAAAGGGAAATTTTCTACATGTAATACATTTTTTAGTGTCCTAACAAATTAAAAACAACAGTCACTAAGGTGAAGCAGTAGCCTATGCTGGTCGAATATACCAACTGTATTCAAGGGAAGAAGAAAATTAGGTTATAGATTTTAAGCTCAATTCTAATGTCCTGTTCAAGCACAGACCATTTGTCTTTAAAAACCTTTGATATCAAGCCCCTTATAATCTCTCTACACTTTTCACATGTCTTTCCCATGCTAGCATCCAAAAAAATCTTACTACCTCAAAAAAGAACTACTATCAGACATCTGGGAACAAAACCAAGTGTTTCCTGCCATGACAGAGACTTGTTAATATCCTACCAAAAATGAGCTATACTGAAATGAGATAAGTTCCTGAGAAAAGCTTACCACACCCTAAATACTACAGCAATGGTTCATTCCACATCAATCTGTATATTGGCCCCAAACAAACAAAAGGCTTATTAGAGAAGAGTTATTTCTCAAGGTCTTAATGGAAGTCAGAGGAAATAGTCAATGAAGCACTAAATATTTAATTCAAAACACTCAGTATACTTGGTTTGGTAGTCTGAGACATACGCCTTATAATTAATAAAACAGATTTTCTCCTTAAGAATCCACATTCTATCTACTATCAGATAAAATTCTGCAGAGGGCAGAGAACAAAAGAGATACAGAACCATGCAGAAAAACTCAATAACCTATATGTAGAAATAAGTAAAAGGCAAAAAAGAGTATTTCTACACGATGAATATACTTTAAAATGCACATAGAGCTTAAATAATCAAATGGGTCCATTATTTATTTAAAAAATGACTTCATGAATGTCACTAAAAGAATACTATTTTTCTAATGCACAATATTCATCTTTTAGATAGATATATTAGCTTAGACTACTACACTGCCTTTTGAGAAGTTCAAAGAACCTTAAGATCAACCTCATTACTCCATCCTTTAAAAAGGGTTTTCTAATTTTCAACTTATTTATTCATATATGTATGCGCTTATGTATGCATATATTTAAAGCAATGGAACCCTTTCTTCCAATGAAAGCTGATGTGAAATGGCAACGTGTAAACAGATCAAAGCAGAGGGGAGCTGCTCTGGGAGGAGTAGAGTGGGTATCCCAGAGCAGCTGGTGGCTGCTCATGTTGACACCAGCAAAGAAAGCACGAGATCTAGAGTACGAGAACAAAACACAGAACCTGAAAATGATTGCTTTAAAGTAAAAGGTATCAGAATCACAGAATCTTGGATTTGGGGGTAGACCTCCCTTTACCCAATTTTCCATCCATCTCTCTGATGGTGCCTCCAAAGGTATGCAGCCACTGCTGAACAGCTTAAGTTCTCTTAGGTCTTTCCCAGGACTCTTTCCCAAGTGAAAATGCAGGTCACAGTTACACTGTCCTATGTGAAAGATACTGAAATACATGAACGAGTTGCCACATTCCTTTTGGTTATTAGGATCAGCATGTTTCCTTTGTCAAATAAAGTGGAGTGGATCTACTTGTATCTGGTTCCTCTGAGGTAGTGGCAGTCTAGATCCAACTCTAATGAAATAAACAGCTGTTACAATGCTTCGTAGTGTACTAGCACATCTGGAGCTAAAAAGTCACCAGAGGAATCTTAGTCAAAGATTCCTCTAAATACAAACTGTAAGTACTAACTAGCCTTGAAGAGGGTCACATCAACATGACTCTTAAAACTGCAACGTCTGTATCTGATTTTACTTCTGCAGGCAAGAAAAGGAACACAGGTTGGAGACAAGAAAACTTAGTATTCATAGATAAAAAATTTTAAAACATGTAATTCCTTTATAATAATATTCAGTTATATATACCTTCCAAAATTCTTTTTCTTGCCATCTGTTGATGTTTCTAAATTACACATGTGATTTTCATGTTCCCCTGCCTTTTACCTACTGAAATACTATTCATCCGATAAGATCTTGTTTGAAAGACAGGTACGTTATGAAGTATTCTGCTTTATCCTAGTTTGGAACTATTTGCTCCCCCCACTTTCCATATTCATATACTTTGCACAATTTATCACTTTCTGTATTAGCTGGCCATACGGAAATTCTACTTGATTGAAACAGAATTTCTTCTTTTTTGATTTTTTCTTTTTTTTTTTTCTTTTTGAGAAGGGGTCTCACTCTGTCACCCAGGCTGGAGTGCAGTGGCGCGATCTCGGCTCACTGCAAGATCCACGTGGGTTCATGCCATTCTCCTGCCTCAGCCTCCCGAGTAGCTAGGACTACAGGCACCCACCACCACACCTGGCTAATTTTTTGTATTTTTAGTAGAGATGGGGTTTCACCGTGTTAGCCAGGATGGTTTCAATCTCCTGACCTCGTGATCTGCTCGCCTCGGCCTCCAAAGTGCTGGGATTACAGGCGTGAGCCACTGTGCCCGGCCTCTTTTTTTTTTTTTTTTTTTTTTTTGGAAACAGACTTGCTCTGTCGCCCAGGATGGAGTGCAGTGGCGAGATCTCGGCTCACTGCAACCTCTGCGTCCCGGGTTCAAGCGATTCTCCTGCCTCAGCCTCTCAAGTAGCTGGGATTACAGATGCGCGCCACCACGCCTGGCTAATTTTGGCATTTTTAGTAGAGACCGGGTTTCACCACGTTGGCTAGGTTGGTCTTGAACTCCTGACCTCAGGTGATCCGCCCACCTCAGCCTCCCAAAAGTGCTGGGATTACGGGAGTGACCACCATGCCCAGCCTGAAACGGAATTTCTTATACTTAAAGTGTACTTTCACACTCCCTTTCAGTAGATAAGGTATTTAGATGTTGTAAGAATTAAAGATCCATATAATACAAAAATACATGGATTGGTTACAAACTGTGGGGGTGTCTAGCAGAGATTTAATACAATATCTAAAAATGTACCTTTCGGCCAGTGCAGTGGCTCACGCCTGTAATCCCAGCACTTTGGGAGGCCAAGGCGGGTGGATCACCTGAGGTCAGGAGTTGAGACCAGCCTGGCCAACATGGTGAAACCCCATCTCTACTAAAAATACTAAAATTAGCTGGACTTGGTGTTGCACCTGTAATCCCAGCTACCCGGGAGGCTGAGGCAGGAGAATTGCTGGAACCCAGGAGGGAGAGGCTTCAGTGAGCCGAGATCAAGCTACTGCACTCCATCCTGGGTGACAGGGCAAGATTCCATCAAAAAAAAAAAAAAGAAAAAAAACACCTTTCGCAGAACAGTCAGATGAAAAAAAAAGCATCCATTTTTTCAGTCAGATGAAATAGCTTCTAGATGCTCTTTCAGGTATAAAATCTTTGTGTTCAGATGTAGTTACATGACAGATTTCTCTTCAATCTAACCCTATGTCCCTCTAACTTGCCTATGATGGTGCTGTTGCTCCACTCCCACAATGTAGTAGTTGTGCTATCACTCCCTCCAGTTTGCTGGTTTCCAATGATTAGATAAATGCACTTGGTGGGGCAGAGGCTGTTGACTGTTCCCCAATGATCCATTTCTCCCTTTCTTCTACACTAACAGATTTTTTTTAGTAGAGCACATGGCTGCAATTAATAAAGACTATATTTCTCAGCTTCCACTGCTGTTAAGTATGATCCCATGGTGAATTCTGGATTGCTAGATTGAAGGTCTCCTGGCAGCTTCTGAGAACCTTCATTAAGAGTTAGTGCTGGCCGGGCGCGGTGGCTCACACCTGTAATCCCAGCACTTTGGGAGGCCGAGGCGGGTGGATCACGAGGTCAAGAGATCGAGACCATCCTGGCCAACATGGTGAAATCCCGTCTCTACTAAAAAAAATACAAAAAATTAGCCGGGCATGGTAGCGGGCGCCTGTAGTCCCAGCTACTCGGGAGGCTGAGGCAGGAGAATGGCATGAACCTGGGAGGCGGAGCTTGCAGTGAGCCGTGATCGCACCACTGCACTCCAGCCTGGGTAACAGAGCAAGACTCCACCTCAAAACAACAACAACAACAACAAAACTGAAGAGTTACTCAGTGCTGGCCATGCATGGTGGCTCATGCCTGTAATCTCAACACTTTGGGAGGTCGAGGTAGGAGGATTGCTTGAGTCCAGGAGTTCGAGAACAGCCTGGACAACATGGCAAAACCCTGTGTCTACAAAAAATAGAAAAAAATTAGTTGGGCATGGTGATGTATGCCTGTAGTCCTGGCTACTTGGGAAGCTGAGGTGGGAGGATTGCTTGAGCCCGGGAAGGGGAGATTGCGGTGAGCCAAGATTGTGCCACCACACTCCAGCCTGGGTAACAGAGACCCTGTCTCAAAAAAAAGAAAAGTCACCCAGTGTCTCACTTCACTTTTTATTGTTTGCCTCCTCCCCTATCCTGTGGCTTGAACTAAGATGCTTCCTGGACCTAAGAAGGAGGATGAAACCCTAGGGGATGGTTAGGGGATGGTGCATCTGAAAAGAGTGTGAGTCTCCGAGGACTGTGTGATAGGCAGAATTTCCCCTGCTCAAAGATGTCTATGCCCTAATGCCTGGAACCTGTGAACATGTTACATTACAGGTCAAAAGGTAATTTGCAGACATAATTAAGATTATTGTCCTTAAAACCGGGAGACTATCCTGGATTATCCAAATATGCACAATCTAATCATATGATCCCTTAAAAGCAGAGAACTTTATCTGTCTGGAGTCAGAGACATGTGGCAGAAGTCAGAGGGATTTCAAGCATGAGAAGCATCATTTGATGTGCCAGTTAGATGCAGGGGCCCACATGTAAGGACCAGAGAGAGGTTTCCAGGAGCTAAGCAGCCCTCAGGAAGGCAAGGGGGAACTCAGTTCTACAATCACAAGGAACTAGATTCTGCCAACAACCTTAATGAGCCTAGTGGTAGATTCTTCCCAGAGCCTCCCAATATGAACCCAGCAGGCCTACAACTTGATTTCAACCTTGTGAAACCTGGAACAGAGAAACCAGCAGAGCCAAGTCAGATTTCTGATCTACAGAATTGTGGGATAACAAATCTGTGTTGATTAAGCAGTTAAGTTTGCAGTAACTTGTTACAGCAGCAAATGGAAGCTAATACAGACTTTCTGGAGCAGAGCCTCCTTATCAGTCTCAGAAGGACTGCTCTGGACTTTACCTGGAGATAGAGGAAATTATTTCTTCTTTAAGATACTCAGATTTTAGGTTTTTCTCTTATTCACAGTTGAACCTAAATCTGACTGATACACCTGATGAAATCCTTTCAACACATAGCAATATCATGATCAAAAGCTAAAGAATAACAGAAGCTAAAGTGAAATACTATTCAAGTTGTGAAAAAAATTTAAAAATAGATGTAATGATATAAGTTAAACAGACTTTAATAAGGCCTATTTTCACTTTCTTAGTTGCAACAAAGATATGGTGTGATACTTCAAACTTAATAACATTTAGTCTGTGGCCCAATTTTAAGAAAGTCCTTTTTTAAGTGGCCTGACATTACACTGCTACCAGTCAGTGTCTAGACCAGTCAGGGTCAGTAATTACTTACGAGATAGAATAAGACCAATCAACACACACCAGCAAAACAGGTGCAAATGATATGGTAGGAAATAAAAGTAAAATTTCCAGTAAGTACCATATATCACTGTGAAAGAAAAAAAAAAACTGTGGCTTGAAAAAATGCCTAAAATCTTTCGATCATCACACAATATTCACTCAATTTTGTAAGTGCAATATAAAAACATAATACTATAAAATTTTCATATTCTTTTCCTCTTCATAAGGAATCAGAGACTTCTGCAAACAAAACTTGTTTAAACTAATTCAATTCTCATTTTAATATGAAACGTTTGATTTCTAGCTACACAAGGAGTACAAAATTTGTATAAAACACTGATAATTTTGTTTCAACTTTTTTGTTCTGGAATGTCCTATTCACATTACAGGTGTCACTTTGGATAACTTAAAAATTAAAACCTTTTTAAAAAACATATTTCAAAGGACTTCCAATTCTCCCTCTTATATGAGAATGGCCTGCGAAATGCCCATTTACAAATTTTTAAAAAATATGTAAATAGGCCAGGCACAGTGGCTCACACCTGTAATCCCAGCACCTTGAGAGGCTGAGATGGGCGGATCACCAGATCAGGAGATTGAGACCATCCTGGCTAACACGGTGAAACCCTGTCTCTATTAAAAATACAAAAAATTAGCAGGGTGTGGTGGCAGGCGCCTGTAGTCCTAGCTACTCGAGAGGCTGAGGCAGGAGAACGGTGTGAACCCAGGAGGCGGAGCTTGCAGTGAGCTGAGATCGTGCCAATGCACTCCAGCCTGGGCGACAGAGCGAGACTCTGTCTCAAAAAAAAAAATAAATAAATAAATAAATAGCCATTCTCAGTCATGTTACTGGTACTTCAGAACTATTTGAATTTGATCAAATATACCCCACTTTAGGAAAACTAATATATGGAAAGAAGAAATTGCTTTATAAATGGCAAGATTCAGGAAGGGAAATAGGCAGGGGTAAATTCCAAGAGCCAATTAACAATGGGAAATGAAAACAAAGTCTTTTAAAAATAACAACGTAAGTAAATAGGAAAATGTGAACTTGCTCCCAAAAGGCCACTCCGTAGGAGCCGGGCCTGCAGAACTCCCAGCCTCTGAGGTAGAGGATGAAAACAACATGCACGCGAGAGTCAGATTAGTCCAAACCATCTGCTCTTTGCAAATATAACTTAGCAAGGTGAACCAAGGAATCAGTGGTCCCTCATCTTGAACTTGCTCCTGCTAGACTTTCAGTCTTTTTCCTTGTTGCTTAACGAAGCTCAAGACACACATCAGATCTGGGAGCAGTTCACCTAGCCCTACCCTCTTGAAGAGAGAAACTCTCCTGCAGTTGCTTATCCAGGTATCTTCATGCTCAATTTTATTAAGCAAATTATCCATAAGGGTCTCCTGCTTGGAACCCGGGAATCAATCACTTTATGGGACAAGTACTAAAGGACTGTACACACTGAAAGGTTAGGTAACTTCCCAAGATCACACGGCTGGCAAGAAATGGAGGTGGGTCTCCCATTCCAGTGTTCACACTGTCATACACTGTCTCTGATGCATGAGTGAATATTTTCTTTCCAGAGCTGTTTGTATGTGTCTAGACATGCATTTATATAAACAACTTAAATGTCGTAATATATGGCATTAGCAATATTCACTGGATAAATTCAATGATATTTTGAGGCCATATATCTTTCAACATAGATTATATTATGGAAAATGCCTATAAAACTTTTTTTTTAAATTGCATATACGCAAGTAGAAAATCATCTAGAGTGTTATACAACAAGACATCAATTTAAGGATTACTTGGAAGCAGACATTATATTAACAGTTGGCTTCAAGTTTGTCTCTATTTTTTGTAATCAGCTTATGTTACTTTTGTTCTTTGAGTTATTTTTGAATCATTTATTCTAAAAATATTTATGTGCCATGTATTGTTATAAGGATACCATTAGTGAAAAAAATAAAGATCACTGCCCCTTTGGTGCTTACATGGTAAGAGATGAGAGGAAAAACATACACAGTGAAAAGGCTAGCTCTCCTCCCACCCCATAACCACTTTTATCAGTTTCTTGTGTGTCCTTCCAGAGTTTCTGCATGTAAACAAAGATAAATGCAAACAAATATTATTTTCCCCTGCACTAATCACATACTACATGTATTATTTCATATCTTGTATTTTTCACGTAATATATCTGAAAGAGCCTTCCATCAGTACCTTACTCTTTTTTTTTTTTTACAGCTGCACACTACTAGATCAATGTACCATATTTAAGTAGGTCTCTGTTGGTGGATATTTGAGTTGTTCCTAATCTTTTGCTATTATAAAAAATACTCCCAAAATAAACTAGTACATTGTCATTTTGCACAAATGCACGTAGGATTGCTGGGTCAAAGGGTGATGTTATTTGAAATTTGGATGGATATTACCACATTCTTCATAGGAGTTGTACCAATTTACACTTCAACCAGAAAATTTTGAGACGGTCTGTTTCCACATAACCTGGAAAATGGATTTTTCTAATCTGATAGGTAAGAAATAGCATGTCAGTGAAGTTTTAAACTGCAATTTTCTTATTAGACTTAAACTGTGCATTTTAAGCTATATTTAAGAGCTATGTGATACCCTTTTAAGTAACCTTTAAAATTGTGAAATTTGTGAATGCATCATCTTTAGGCAAATTGGTTACTGCCTCCATAGTGTCTACATGCAGCAATGGATCTGGCTTGAATTAATTAGCTATGTATTAATATTATTATTTAATATAATAGTATATAATAATATTATTTCTTCACTCTTGATGTTAAGAAAGTTAATAGCCAGGATTAGACTATAAGGATATTAACTGTTGTATTAGTTCCCCTAAGCCTAGCACAGAGCCTGGTGCACCTTAGTGTCCAATAAAATGTTTGCTTAAAAAAATGAGCAACAAAAAAGATGTTTTCTTTGGAAGTTATAGTGCAACAGCACCACCAAGGGGGAGCTTTAGCTAAAGCATCTCCCTATCAAATTTCCTCCAGCTGAATCGCTTGAACCCAGGAGGCAGAGGTTGCAGTGAGCTGAGACCATGCCATTGCACTCCAGCCTGGGTGACAGAGTAAGACTCCGTCTCAAAAAAAAAAAAAAAGAAACACTCCTCCAGCCAGATTTCCAAGCCACTGTGAATACATAATCAAATTGGAGACACTGTGAATGCTGTTTAAATGGCACTTGCAAACAACCCTCAAACTCCACCCTCCAAATGCTGCCCCTCAGCCTCTCTTGTATAGAACTTGAGCTGTTATTGTCAGAGTGAACATCCAGCCTGCCACACTGCCACAAGATAACACAGCCCTACATTTTCTCAGACTAAAGACAAGATTTGGTCAATATCAACAACTCAGTGGCCAGCAAGTGCAGCCACATGAACATGCATCTTACAGGAACTCTGTGCACTTGCTCCTCTTCCATTTTGACTATAAGTGAAGACACCTGTACTAGATAGTGGACATTTCCTGCTCATCAGAAGAAACTATGGGAAAAAGTCAGGGAGAGAATGTTAATGTCAAATGTAAATTAAAGGAAAAAAATGCAAAGAATAGCATTTGAATGGATTCAGCTTAAATTTTCTATTTTGAACAGAAGCCTGGATATTGATCTTAAGAATGAAAGTATTCATTTTCCCAGCTACAATAAGCAATAATTTATAAAACTTAATTCAACAGTCTCCTAGCAGTCTTGTGGCAGCTAGCATCCAAAGATGGCCACAAATGAACCACATCTCCCAGCACTTATGCCCTTCTGTGGTTCTTTCCTCTTGAATCTGGGCTGGTCTCGTGACCTGCTTTTGACCAATAAAATGTAACATTCAGGGATAGCTGAGCTAGGCCATAAGAAACCTTATAGTTTCTGCCACTCTTGGGATGTCCCCTCTTGGGAACCTGCCTGCGTTGCGGTGAGGAGGCCAAGCTTCATAGCAAGGTCACAAGAAGAAGAACTGAGGTGTTCCAGGCAACACCTCAACAGATCTCCCAGCTAGCATCAACTGCCAGCCTTGAGATGGGAGCACACTGGACACCCAGCCCAGCTGCTCTACGATGGCAAACAAGAGACCACAAGTAGAGAATCAGTTAGCTAAGCAATCAACCCAAAGCCCTGTGGAGGTCATTACAAATTGTTGTTTTAAGCCACTAAGTTTTGGGGTAGTTTGTTACACAGAAATAGACAACAGCAACAAATTTATTTCATAACCACACCCAGGCAAGATAAGCAATAAACTTAAAAGGCAATTTAGTACAGTAACATTGTTTTTTTATGACTTTTTAGAATAGAGACCATGAGCTCTTACAGAGAATAAACATGATTTATATATTCTGTATACCCCTTCTCTTTCAACCTCTGATAACTATGTTCTCAATAAATATTTATTAAATGGAAGCATGAATAATACAAATATAGTTAAATATTGATTATACTGATGGAAGGAAGGTATAATTCAGAAATAGTAGATATTTAAAAGTATATACACTGAACTCTGTAATACAGACATGCTCACATCCACTCTACCTATCTCATCCTGAAAGGGCATTAGAGTGCTGGTTCTTATACTTTTCTCAGGGCCCCTTTCAACTCTTAAAAATATTAATGAGAACCCCAAAGAATTTTTTCATATGTCAGTTATACTGACAGATATTAAAACTGAGAAAATATTAAATATTTACTAATTCATTTAAATTTAATAATAAACACATTACATGTTAACATTAATACAGTTAATGAAAAAGCCCCTTTAGTCATTTGAGAGATATTGGTTCACTGAATTATGCAGATCTTCCAAATGTTGACACATTTCATCAAATAATAGTTTTTAAAATCCATATTTACTAACATCATTGATGTTATAACAAAAGTCTAAATTATTAGGAAGTTGTCAAACTCATGATGCCAAATATAAGTTTTTCGAAATTTTAATTTTGACTTGAAAATTTTTTTTATTGGCAACCAACACTGGCAGTTTCCTCTCTGCCAAGACTGTCTCATGTTCTTTCGTGTAAAAATGCTATTCCATCAGAAAAGTGGCTAGTTCAGCTCACAACTCTATCACACACCTGCTTTTCCTCAAGACAATCATTGGAACCCAGTATGGAGTAGAAGTGCATTATGTGAGCTTCTAGTTTTACAACAGAAAATATCAAAAAGATGTACTCAAGGGTCAAGATTTATAACAACTAATCATTTTTACTATTTCGCCAAGGACATTTTTCAGTGAAGATGGTTTTTATTTTACCACAAATGTGTGTGTGGTTGTGGAAAATATAGTGAGTACTAGTACAGTTAGGCACCACTTGATTTATGCTAAGGTCTCAGCAGTTTTACCCCAACTTTGCTATTGTACCCTTGATGCAAATGTCAGCACAGTGGAAATGGCAAATGATGTCTTATTATAAAAGGCTTAGACTCCATGGACTCTCTGTGGCCCACAGAACACACTTCGAGAATCAATGCACAGAAGTGATCCAAGACTGCACAGAAACTTTATATAGTGGACATTCTACTCACTCACAACTGAGAATCTGAGTGCAGGTATAAGGTAGATGATGTCTGCCTATCCTTTTCAGCTTTATCAATGTCAGGTCTGCCAAAAAGAACATTTCTACGCTAGGGTCAAACTTGGATTTCAATTTCAGCTCCACACTATTAGCTACATGACCTTGGCTAAGTTTCAGTCTGAGTCTCAGTTTCCTCACCTATTAAACAGAAATTCTGTACCTTATAGATGGCTAGACTTATAATTAAATAAGACAGCATCCATATAACACTGACTAGCAATATGAGTGATAGAGTAAGCCCCGAACTCAATCAGATTCTAAATGACTAAGGACCAAAACTATGGCTAATTTCCATGTTTTGGAAGATGGTGGTAACCTGATTTTATTTTTCTCTCCACCACTTGTAGAGGGACCAAATAATAAATGGATATTCATAAAAATGTACCTCTTTACATAATGCAATTCTGATAGATGAAATGATGTCAGGAATTGCTTCCAAATAATCCAGGGTAGGGAGAAAAAGGAGGGGAAATAAATGAAATAGTTTGTCAAGAACTGATATCTGCCGAAGGTAGGGGCTGACAATCTAAAGTTTCATTATATAATTCTCTTCAAACATATTTCGAATTTTTCAAATTAAAAAGGAAAAAGCTGATCACTCATTTGAGGCTTCTATAATAATTATGCTTCGACTGTCGTTAAGTTAATAATGTACAAATTCAGTTTCTACGATAAGTCACCTTCTACGCTGCGAGTTATCAACCATTTTCCCAGCACTACAACATGCACCACACATGTTCTTCAGGCGTCTTTCTGCAAAGATGAGTCAGACAGGCTGCCTGGAGTTACACTCCACTTGCTCTCACCCCACCCCACCATTCCACTGTGGCTGAGAACTGCTGATCTAATTTAAAGTAATCTGGGCTGGGTGCAGTGGCTCACGGGTGTAATCCCAGCACTTTGGGAGGCCGAAGCAGGCAGATCACCTGAAGTCAGGAATTTGAGACCAGCCTGGCCAACATGGCGAAACCCCATCTCTACTAAAAATACAAAAAAATTAGCTGAGCATGGTGGTGTGTGCCTGTAGTCCCAGCTACTTGGGAGGCTGAGGCATGAAGATCGCTTGAAACTGGGAGGCGGAGGTTGCACTGAGTGGGAAGTGCCACTACACTCCAGCCTGTGTGACAGAGTAAGACTCCGTCTCAAAAAATAATAATAACAATAAAAATGCATAAAGTAATCTGAGTATTTCAACCATCTTATAACTGTAATATACATTGAAAAATAAAGTTTCCTGAGTAAGAAAACAAATTAAAATTGGATGAAGGTCAGCTTGACACACAGCCTCTAGATGGGTTGTATTTTAATACATGGTTTATTTTCATCACCTTGTGGGAGTCAAGTTCGATGAAGGAAGTTTTGCGTCTTCTGTAGGTCACTGAAAGGGAAGTACACCCAAAAACGTCAAGTTATAACTAGCGTTATTTTTGTTTGTTTGTTTTTGTTTTTTGAGACGGAGTCTAGCTCAGTTGCTCAGGCTGGAGTGCAGTGGCGCCATCTTGGCTCACTGCAAGCTCCGCCTCTGGGGTTCACGCCATTCTCCTGCCTCAGCCTCCCGAGTAGCTGGGACTACAGGCGCCCGCCACCACGCCCGGCTAATTTTTTTGTATTTTTAGTAGAGACGGGGTTTCACCGTATTAGCCAGGATGGTCTCGATCTCCTGACCTCGTGATCCACCCGTCTCGGCCTCCCAAAGTGCTGGGATTACAGGCGTGAGCCACCGCACCCGGCCTATACCTAGGGTTTCTAAAGGAAGCTTAGGGAACGGCCAAGAGCCAGATGGACAGAGAAAAGAGCTGCCTCCTCGCTACTTTAAAAGAGGAGACCTGCTCCTCTTCCCAGATATAACTCAAGCATCAATCATCTCACTGGTAAGGCTTCCGTGACACTCAGGTGAGCGGGCTGCCTTCTCCTGGGTCCCACTTTCATCACAGTAAAACACAGAGCCTGCTAGACAATAAGCTCTCTGAAGACAGCATGAGTCTATGGTGTGAATTGCCAATGCCTGGAGATGTCTGACACATGGTAGCCACACAGAAAATATCTGATAAATGATTATATGTCCCCTAAATACCTACTCTTGTTTAAAATACTCCACGAAGAAATCATTGTTAGGGCTGGGCGTGGTGGCTCACGCTTGTAATATGAGCACTTTGGGAGGCCAAGGATGGTGGATCACTTGAGGCCAGGAGTTCGAGACCAGCCTGGCCAACATTGTAAATCCCTGTCTCTACTAAAAATGCAAAAGTTATCAAGGTGTGGTGGTATGTGCCTGCAATCCCAGCTACTTGTGAAGCTGAGGCATGAGAACTGCTTGAACCTGGGAGGTGGAGGTTGCAGTGAGCTGAGAGATCATGCCACTGCATTCCAGTCTGGGTGACAAAGCAAGGCTCTGTCTCAAAAAAAAAAAAAAAGAAAAAAGAAAAAAAAAATCATTGCTAGAACCAGTCTCTTTAGTTTCTCAGAGAACATACTTAGAATCTCAGTGATTCATTTAATACTGAGTGATCCTAAATTGGAAGTTCATAATGCTATGAAGGTCTCTGATTGGCTTATGTACTCAGATACCATTATTATGTCGATATCAGGCAGTAAGTTATGACAGAGTTGTATATACTTCTGAATTTCCAGGACTAATGGGTCCATGAAAGTTTATTCAGTAAAGAATAGACAAATACTCTTACGCTTCAATATAATCTTCATGTTTGACTAATGAAGAAAGCAGGCACATTTTAGATTTTTTTTTAAAAAAGTCATTAACAGGAGGAGTGTCACATTGAGTTCCTATAGTAATTTTTCTTAACCAGTGGACCTCAAACCCCGAAGTCCTCACAGATCTTTTAAACCAGGATTCCTAAGAAGGCAAAAGTTTTGTCATCAACTAACTTCTCTCCTACTCATTTAGAGGGTATTTGCTACGTATGACTATCTCCTTGGGAGAACTGAGGAAATCCTCACTTAACTGGTTCTCCGCTGGACTTGATTTTCTCATGAACTCCGATTGGGAAAAGCTGCTTAGACCATCTGTCACAGGGTGTCTGGGACCCCCACTATTCACCCTCAAATCTTTTCAGTCAGTAACTACTGAAAGATAGTCAATGAGTTTTTAAAAACATGTCAACAGGGGGATCACATGTTTAGAAAGACTGGCAACAACTGCCCCTAAGTAAAGTGTTATATTAAACGACCAAGTACACAAATTACTTGTTTTTAATTTAAAACTTCACTTATAAGAAGCACTGGCAAAGGAAGGTGTTGTAGACAGAGCACAGGTGTAGGTTTAAATACCAATGTTGTCACTGTCCATAGACAAGCTACTTCTCTGACATTTAGTTTCTTCATTATAAAATATAAATAATACTCATATTATTGGATAACACAAATAACCGATTGCATAGGATCCAGTATGTGTGTGACGGATACCAGCTTCACAGAAGAAGAAGAAGAAAAAAACCCAAAAACAAGGTAGTCTATAGGCACACTGGTTCCTCCTTACCTATAGAGCCAGTAGATTTTAACCATTTGTTTTAGCTCAATTCAAGTATCAGAATTTCATCATTCATTCAAATACCTACTGCACCATCAAGAACAAGACATGGTGCTGTGAGCCCTCTAACAAGGAAGATCTTTTTCCTTTGATAATTACTGGGTAACTGTTGCGGGAAATCAGGGACCCGGAACAGAGGGACTGGCTGAAGCCATAGCAGAAGAACATAAATTGTGAAGATTTCATGGACATTTATTACTTCCCCAAATTAATACTTTTATAATTTCTTATGCCTGTCTTT
This sequence comes from Homo sapiens, assembly GCF_000001405.40. NCBI lineage: Eukaryota > Metazoa > Chordata > Mammalia > Primates > Hominidae > Homo > Homo sapiens. Next base: position 49,245,056 of record NC_000018.10, read on the forward strand.
ACTGCAGTCTCTGAACATAAATTGTGAAGATTTCATGGACATTTATCACTTCCCCAATCAATACTTTTATAATTTCTTATGCCTGTCTTACTTTAATCTCTTAATCCTGTCATCTTCGTAAGCTGAGGATGTATGTCACTTCGGGATTCTGTGATGATTGTGTTAACTGTACAAAATGTTTGTAAAACATGTATTTGAACAGTATGAAATCAGTGCACCCTGAAAAAGAACAGAATAACAGCGATTTTCAGGGAACAAGGAAAGATAACCATAAGGTCTGACTGCCTGTGGGGTCAGGCAGAATAGAGCCATATTTTTCTTCTTGCAGAAAGCGAGTAGGAGAAATATTGCTGAATTCTTTTCCCAGCAAGGAACAACCCTGGGGAAGGAATGCATTCCTGGGGGTAGGTATATAGATGGCCACTCTGGGAATGTCTGTCTTATGCCGTTGAGATAAGGACTGAAATACGCCCTGGTTTCCTGCAGTACCCTCAGGCTTACTAGCATTGGGAAATTCCAGCCTGGTAAATTCTAATCAGACTGGTTCTCTGCTCTCGAACCCTATTTCCTGTTAAGATGTTTATCAAGACAATGTGTGCACAGTGGGACACAGACCCTCATCAGTAATTCTAATTTTGCCTTTGCCTTGTGATCTTTTATTGCCCTTTGAAGCATGTGATCTTTGTGACTTACTCCCTGTTCGTACACCCCCTCCCCTTTTAGAATCCCTAATAAAAACTTGCTGGTTTTGCAGCTCAGGTGGGTATCACAGAACCTGCCGATATGTGATGTCAACCCCGGCGGCCCAGCTGTAAAATTCTTCTCTTTGTGCTCTTTCTCTTTATTTCTCAGACCAGCCGACACTTAGGAAAAATAGAAAAGAACCTACATTGAAATATTGGGGGCTGGTTCCCCCGATAGGTGACTGCTATTCAGCAGATGCCATTCTAAGCACTTTAAATGTATTAACTCATTTAGTCTTCACAGTGGCCCTAGGACAGTAGTCCCAGTTTGTAAAGGAGGAAACTGAAGGACATTGAACAAATGAACAAATTGTAAATGCTCGGAAAACTCACAATACTTGTGATAGGGAGTTATCTACCTACCTTTTTAAAGCTAGCTTTTCCAAACTATCCTTGTCTCTCCTAAGGAAGCATTCTCTCTTCCCTTGTTTGTCCTATCTCTGCAACATCTGATTCAGTATGTATTTACATTGGACACGTGAGCCACTTTAAATCTTTTTACCTTTGTTTATTCCCATTTCTCCTGTTAACACAACACTGTTTCTTTGTCTTGGAAAAGGTACTTTTTAAAAGTCCATGAAACACATGCAATTCATCAAGAAGGAAAATGCTTTATTAAGTCACTCTATTTTTCTTATCTGGCCTTAGCATTTTATAACATATCAAATATCACAATTTTGTAAAAGACAGAGAGAAAGCGTGCCTCTTTTCTCTCTGTTCTGGGAAAAATACTAGGCTATGAACCTAGATGACTTGGTTTTTTGTCTGCTTCTGCAACAGTGTTCACTTGGACTGGTCACATAACTCGAGATTTTAATATTCCCATATGTAAAATGTGGAAATTTGCCTTAGATGATCTTTAAAGGTCCTTCTAAGTCTATAATTTTATGACTTGTAAATAAGGCTTTAGAGGTGGAGTTAATGACACTGACATCTGAGTTGGAGGTTCATTATGACACATGTACAAAGCAAAGAGGAATGAGGCCATTCCATCCTTTGCTTCTTCTAAGATATTTAAATACAATGCATTAGCAACTGAGAGATAAAACCTAGAGCAGTATCAACTGGCTACCTTACTGAAACAGTGACAGGTTTTTCCAATGGCAACAGAAATTCATAACTAGGTAAGGAGTGTTGGGAGACAATTCCCCACTCTCTCATGTTTTGCACATCTTAAAAGCAGAGGCATTAGCAGCCTTGTGCTCCGGGCTATCTCTGCGTGGATGCTTGTAGAGTGAACAGACTTGGAAGACAGAGATGGTGTCTCTCTCTAGAGCAGAGAGTAGTTTACTATCAAATACATTAAAGATGTCTCCCTTCAAAGCAAAGGTTGGGCAGGTGTGCTTGAAGGCTATCATAAAAGACTGGGGATTCCCAAGCTCTGGGTTCCGCTCCTGTATTGCAACCCACTGCACTTACAGGTGTCACCTGGCCCTTGTCATGTTGCCCTGTGGGTATGGGAACCACACAAGAAATGAATATTCTGGCTCCTACTACTGCTGCGAGTAATAATTTATGATAAAAAATATAAAAAAAGGACAATAACAAACTGTCCTTTGTCCTTGACCCAGGAGTCTTGGGTGTCCTACCAGAATCTACAAAACTGTAGCAGGTAAACTTGTTAGCTTGAAAGTAGGTAAAAATCTTACAACCTTCATAAAAATAAACAGGAATGGAGGCTTAATAATTCATGGCTAAGAGGACAAAGTTGAACCACACCAAGTTACCTCTGTAACATGATGGTGACATTCAATAAAGCTCTATGGAAGTTATTTTAAAGTTTAATTTGCTGTGTGGCAATTTTGTCCACAAAGGTCTTTACTTATAAGAAATAAACAATCTGATAAACATATGACATGTTTCTTTAAAGCTGACATTTTGAATGTGCCAGCAGTCTAAACTGAAATTAAACCAATTATGAAGTTTTCTTGTGTCCCATCAAGTCTGCCAAGACACCCTGTTGTACAATACTAGCAATTTTTTGAATAGGTAACCATTTTCTACTGGAAACTTATAAATTTTCAGAGAGGAGCTGTCTAAATGTTCTCAATGTAACTCCTTAAGAAAGGACTAAACTAAAAAAGCAAACCAAGCCAGATTTCCCTGAAAAACTTAGCTGCCTTCAAAGTACCACTGGCTGTAGGAAATACAGGAAGCCAGATTTTCAAGACAAACATTCCTCCTTCCTTTCCTGGTTACTGCTATGCCAAGATCAAACAAGGATCAGCAAAGACCAAAGGAATGAAGAAACTGGAACCTTTTTATTGCCTGGGCATTGGGCAAGAGCAAGCTAATTCTATCTTTTAAAAAATGAAATCATATACATTTAAGAGAAGTATTTATACTGCAAGCCATTGCTCAGATCTCCTACCAATCTACAATAAAACAATTATTAAAAACTTCTATCTATGTTCAGTGAGATCTTCATTTTCTTTGTTAGAAAAATATTTGGGGAATATAGGCAATTCAAAAATCCATTGGGCAGGGAATCAGAATCTTGCAATATTAGCAGAGACCAATACATTCTTTTGTAGAGATGTTATCCAGATTTATTTTTAGATTCAAAATATCTCAAAAATGTTATAATACTATAATAGAGAAAATAGAGATGCAAGACTTTACAAGCCATCATTAACTCTTACACCACTCAAATGAAGTAGGTATGATATCTCATTCAAGAGATGAAAAATAAGTTAAATAACTCAGCAAGGTTTTGGAAACAGAACTGAACCATTCATTACAATTCTTACCATCAGATAATTCCTTCCCTAAAGAAATAATTTCCTGACTACAGTGCTAACAATAATATGAGGTTGAAATAAAATCGAAGTTTAAAAAAAAAAACCAACTATAACACTTAATTTCTAGATACAACAAATGGCATTCGTCTGCAATAAAAACATATCTTAAAGAGGACTTCAGCAGTGGTAGGCATTCATAAGTATTAAATTAAAAATAAAGTTTAATATCAAGGATTAGATATAAAAAATATTATTGTCTCAGGCTAAAAGACACACAGTTCTTATCACTCTTTTCCAGGATAATTTCCACATACCATGTATTGTAATACCTGAACACATCCATACCTGTCTCAAACATGTCAGTTCTAAAAAAGTGGAAAAGACCTTCCTGTCTTTGCTACTATAACTTTAGGTACTTAGATAGATTGGGAGGCAGGTGGAATCAGGGCTAGGGGAAAGCAAACTGAATGACCACCAAGGGCACGGCTACCTTAGATTGTAGAGAACTGTCTGTTCCAGATCAATCCCAGGAGTTTGGATCCATGGTCCCATGGTGAGCGAGTCACTCTCAGAAAGAGTATTCTGCCATTCTTGGAGTGAGCCAGGCTTTTGATCTGGACAAACCTGGGATAGCCACTTACCAGCTGTGAAGAGTCAATACCCTCGACTGTCTAAACCTCCAGACTTCAACTAGCCTTAAATGTAACACAAGAGAGATAAGTGGTGAGACACTGAGGATGGCAGGTATAAATTTATCATTAAATGGACTTTTTAAAAAATAAGGCAATATTTCTAAAATTATCATAATCATATATTATGTTATTACATATTTGAATTGTGCATGTGTGTGTGTGTAATATAAATTCATCCCAACAAATAGGTCAATTTGCTTATTAATATTCCCTTTCATGTTTGAGAAAAAAACCCATGAAAACTTAATTCAGTGGGAACAGAAGTGAGGAAGCCTGTTGGGGTAAGTTACTATTAAAGAATTATTTAAATGAAGGCTGGGGGCAAATTGTCTTTCTTTCTTTAATTCCATGAGCCTGAATGGTCTAAAAGATCTTATTTGCCCAAAATAGAGGAGCTGACCACGTAGTTCAACAACCAACTTCTGTTTTGTAGTCTTCAAAAAAATGCTGGGTGATTAAAATATGTGTCATCATGAGTGCAGGGCAGGAAAAGGCAACTCATATAAAATGCCAGCTTGAGACTACTACACGGAAGTTGCACAACCATACACTTAAAATCTGAAGTGTATATACTCACTCCTGATGGCTGTGAGAAAAAGTGAAAGCATAAGTCATGGATTTGAGAATTTTAAAGTTCTTAAATTGCATGATTAAATTTTATCAGAAATAACTGTATTGCTCTCATAAAATTGTTTTAATTAAAACCTAATCTATACTTTGTATTACTTTATTCTCAAGAGGTGTGAAAACCCAGAAAGCTTTCAATAGAGTCTGGCACTGTCTAAAGCATCTTATGGACACCAGATCATCAACTTCACTAGTTTCAAGCGGCAGCAGACATCTGCAAAATATAGCCAGATGCTAATCAACTTGCATGAAGTCTCAGAATAGTGGGTGCCAGAACTAAGTTTAAATTCCAGATGCCAGCCCATCTTCTAAGAATCAGTCACTAACTATTTATTAAAAGTCTATTGTGTGCCTAGAGAGAGCAACTCTCTGTAAAGTAATGCAAAGAAATATAAAATAAGTCTTTTATCTCCAGTAATTATTACTCTGCTTAAGCAACAGGACTTGCAACTCCAGGCCAGGCCAGTATGTTGTAAGTACCTACACTGGACAGGTAAGACTTGGAAGTTCTATCTTTCCCACACCTACTTCTGAAAGAAGCCAGGTAACCATATCCAGATCTTCTAACATGTAGCTTTCTCCTTTCCTGGGTCTTTCCTTCCTGTTCTAGCCCCAGTAACTAGCCCCTAGGCCAGAAACTGACAGTGATCCATGGGCTGCTACGAAGAGATGAAGAGGGCCAAATGGGTTCTTTCTCTTTGTAATCTGAAGAATGGGGAATATGAAACAACTATGTTAGCAGCAGCTTGGTCCAAACAAAAGGCCTAGGAGCTGAACTGGGGAGACCTCAGCAAGTTGAAGAAGCCACTGCAGGTTCAAGATAAAAGACATGGAATAAAGGGGTGGGAAGCTGGTTGAAAAAGAAAAACCTACAGAAAAAAAGAGGTGACACAAAGAACTGCCTCAACTTTTTTCTAGTTCCAGACCACATTTATCTAGATTCAGCGATATAGCTGTGAAAGAGCAAGGAACTGTAATGATTCAGTAAAGCAGAAGCAGTGGGTATATGGCAAATGGCAATTGAAGACGAAGGGCAAAGGGCAGGGCCCAGACTATGTCACTTTAAGAAAGGGATCCTCAGCCTTGACACTACTGCCATTCTGCGTTGGGTAATGCTTTCTTGTGGGGTCTGTAGTGTGCATTGTAGAATGTTTAGCAACATCTCTGGCCTCTACCCACTAGATGTCAGTAGCAACCTCTTTCCCACTTCTGGCAATAACAATAAAATCTCCACGTATTGTCAAATGTCCCCTGGGGGGCAAAATCACAGTGAAGAGCACAGGTCAGATTTTTAACCTGATAGCAATAGGAAGCCATTTAATATTTTTAAGCAAAAGAAGCAATGAGATTTGCTTTTCCAGTGAATACAGCAGTGTGCAGGGGTGAGTAGGGAGGCAAAAAGACCCAGTCAGACTACTGGCATAGTGTGGGTGAAGACGACACACATGTGAACCAAGACAGCAGCCATGGAGAAAGAGAAGAGCATATACATGCAAATTACAATGGCAGTTAGGTACAACTTCAGGGTCCAGTAAGATAGAATTTGAGAGAAAGGGAGAAAAGTTACAGAACTGGCTTGGCAATTTAGGTGACTGTGGTGAGGGCCATTACCTAGGACAGGGGATTTAAAAGGAAGAGTAGGTTTGAAAACGAGTTCAGTTTTAAACATAATGAAAGTCTGAAGTAAGCATGAGATACCCAGGTGGTGAACCTAGTGGGGTTGGTGCTCAGCCAGCTAATGCTTACTCAGGGCAAATTATGTGCGAGGCCGTTACAAATGTCAACGCACTTCATCCTCACCATAATCCTTTGAGATAGCAGCTGCTGCCGCTCCCGTCTTACAGATGGGAAACTGCTGCATAGAGAAGGTAAAGAACATCATCACCAAGATTCCATAGGTAGTAAAGTTCTGGAGCTGAGATCTCAAACCCTGGCAGTCTGGCTTCAGAGGCTATGTGCTTATCCTCTACATTGTACTGTCTGCCAGTACAGTGAAGGAGAAAGATCTAGATTATGAATTTAGATTTGGGTGGTGTTATAGTCAGTTCTCACGCTGCTATAAAGAACTGCCCGAGGCTTGCACAGTGGCTCACACCTGTAATCCCAGCACTTTGGGAGGCTAAGGTGGGCAGATCACTTGAGGCCAGGAGTTCAAGACCAGCTTTGCCAACATGTTGAAACCCCATCTCTAGTAAAAATACAAAAATTAGCCAGGCATGGTGGCATGCACCTACCTGTAATCCCAGCTACTTGGGAGGCTGAGGCAGGAGAGTTGCTTGAACCTGGGAGGTGGAGGTTGCAGTAAGCTGAGATTGTGCCACTGCACTCCAGCCTGGCCAACAGAGTGAGACTTGCCTCAAAAAAAAAAAAAAAAAAAAAAAAAAGAACTGCCTGAGACTGGGTAATTTATAAAGTTAAGAGGTTTCATTGACTCACAGTCCAGCACAGCTGGGGAGGCCTCGGGAAACTTACATCATGGTGGAAGGTGAAGGAGAAGCACGGCACCTTCTTCACAAAGTGGCAGGGAGAAGAGTGGCACAGCCAAGGGAGAAGAGCCCCTTGTAAAACCATCAGGTCTTTTGAGACTCACTATCATGAATGAGAACAGCATGAGGGAAACTGCCCCCATGATTTAATTACTTCCACCTGTTCTCTCCCTTCACATGTGGGGATTATGAGGATTACAATTCAAGATGAGATTTTGGGTGGGGACACAAAGCCTAACCATTATCAGGTGATTTTCAGTATACAAATGACAGTAGATAAAGTCATAGACATATATGTGATCTCCCAGAGAAAATGTGTAAAGACAGAAGAAAACAAGACAGAATGAGATACTAGAGAAAACTACCTGTTAATCAAAGGGTGAAGGAGAAGCCAGAGGAAACAGCCAGTGGAGGGACATGAGAGACAATAAGGGACAGTCTTAAGGGCTGGAAGTAAATGGTATCTTTCTAATCTAAAGCAATGCCTTGCATATAATCTACTCTTTATAAATGTCTTGAAATTCAATAACCTCATAATCCCAAATAAAGAACGCAGCAAATATGCACACTTATGGCATATCCAAAAGACTTACAAAGTTAAGCAAAACTCAAATTAGATCTGTGATTCTCCTAGAACACCAAGAGTCTGTAGAAGGCACATGGTCATTAAGTATGAGCAACAGCCTAGGTACTGTAAGGAATCATTCCTTACATTTATGTCCAGCTAAGGAGGCTTTTCAAAGATTTATCCACATCCTTTCATAGCAATGTAACATGTTATCTGTTTTGCATTTTGTTGAAGATCATGTGAAATACTGACTCTTCTAAGTTTTGCAACTGACAAATATAAAATTGTGTAGTCTCTTTCTAAAAGAGGATTTAGGAATCATGTATATGAAAACTGCTTACTTCTCACTTGAAGTGGTTACTAGAGCATCTGGTGAATTCTGAGTTGTACTGCTGTAATAACCCTTCTGGGTATCTAAACAGTTTTTGTCATGCATCCCTTATCATACTTTACATTTCTATACCCTAAACACAAATATTTAGTAGGAAATGAGTTTCCTCAAAGTACAAAAAAGCTGGCCCCCATTTCCAGCTCAAGACAAATATTTTCTCAGGAAATACATAATGATTTCCAGGCCAAAACTCAAAAGTGTTTTCTAAACTTTAATGTGGATACAAATCATCTGGGGATCTTGTTAGAAAGAAGACTCTGATCCAGTAGGTCAAAAGCCACACCTACACTCCGCACTTCCAACAAGCTCCCTCCTGCATGACACGATGCTCTGGTCCGCACCGGCTACTCAAATGTGGTCCTTGAACAAGAAAAGTGCTGGCAGCATGTGGGAGCTGGGTAGAACTACACTTCCCTCAGTGCGACAAACAGACCATGATACTATCATCTGCTCAAACAGGTGACTCAAGAAATTTACCTTAAATTCTTTTCTTCAAAATCCACTTAAAAACTCATTCAATCACACTTTCTTTTTTGTTGTTATTAAGAAAAGACCTTCTTTTCTCTCCATTCCTTTCGATTATTCTAAACTGTGAGTCCAACCCTTAAGCCCCTCCACAGTAATAGCCCCAGCTGTTTCTTTCAGGCCTCTCACCTGTGATCCCCATAGAGGTCCACAGCATGCCAGTTCCATGAAACTGGTTATTTTCTACATATAAATCATGCTCTCTCACCATAGTCCCTCTCTTGTTTTGCTTTGGTTTGTTGTAGTTGATGATTGCTGTATCAGGCCAGTTTCTCTTATCTATCATGTCATCTTTCTGTAGCCACCCTGCTTAATCTTTCAATGAGAAGCCTTCTTGCCATTCTTGGAACCAGCCATTCACCCCCTCCATAGCAATTTTTCTTTCATTGTAATATTAAGATATAATAATATATATTTCATATAACATTCTGCTGTATAAAAGATCCTTGTATCATATATATATATATATATATATATATATATATATATATATATATACACACATAGATGGGTCCTGGTCTTATTCCTGCTACTGAAATGCAAGCTGCTTGAGGTCAGGAAACTTTATTATTTATTTTGATACTTCTTGCATTGCTTAACATAGTTCGTTATTCATATTATGCTAACTAACAATCTATTAAAATGAAGTAAAGCACTACTCATTATTGATGATAAACAATCTAAATGCTCTCAAATCACAAATCTAAACTATGTTTCTTATTTCTTCAAATATGATTGGTTTATTTTCTACTTTTGCCATCACAGATTAAAACTTGGACACAGTGTTTTTATATGCATTTTTCCCAACTAAAAAATTGTTTGCATCTCAAAAACATTTAATCGTGCTAAATGTATTTTATCAGAACTTAAATTATCAACCAGCTAATTTGGCATTTTCATATCAAACAAGCTAAATGTTCATTTATCATTTGAGAAAAGTTAATTGTGTAATGAAATCTTCATGAAACCATTATAAAACTGCACATAAACAGAAAAACAGCCTACAAAGCAGCACAGAAATCATTAACTCTGTTATGGTGAAATAAAGCATGGTGACAAAGGTTAACTCCTGGAAACTAAAGGCTCTTCAGAATACCTGAAAAACTCCAAGGTAGGAGGAGACTGCTATGTTTATTTTAAATCGTGAAGTTCACATTATTCCAATGTCAGTCAACTAGATGATCTCTCAAGTACAAACCCAAAAAACAATCTAATAGAATGTATTAAGACCAGACATAAATTAAATAGTGAGTCAATGCAAAATATCCTGTACTAAATTCTGAAGATAAACAGACAACTTAATTTTGAGTAAGTTAAAAATGAGCCCAGGTCAATCAATGGCTAACCAATGAAGAGAATGTGAGATCAGCATTTAAAAGTGATACGGAGTTGTTATCACCACCAATGACTGCTAAACAAAACTGAATGGTCAAAACCACATGCCCAGACTGAGGCAGGAGGATCCCTTGAGCCCAGGAGTTTGAGCTTTCAGTGAGCTGTGGTTGCTCCACTGCACTCCAGCCTGGTTGACAGAGTGAAACCCTGTCTTTAAAAAAACAAGAAAAGCCTGGGCGCAGTGGCTCATGCCTGTAATCCCAGCACTTTGGGAGGCAAGGTGGGCGGATCATGAGGTTAGGAGTTTGAGACCAACCTGACCAACATGGTGAAACCCTGTCTCTACTAAAAATACAAAAATTAGCCAGGCGTGGTGGCGTGTGCCTGTAATTCCAGTTACCCAGGAGGCTGAGGCAGGAGAATCACTTGAACCCAGGAGGTGGAGGTTGCAGCGAGCCAAGATCACACCACTGCACTCCAGCCTGGGTGACAGAGTGAGACTCTGTCTCAAAAAAAAAAAAAAAAGAAGAAGAGAAACCCTGCATTGCCCCAAAAGTAAGAATTAAAGGAAACAATATGACTTCACTGGGGTTCTATTTGAGACCTACTTGGACAACACTGAACATCCTACAGGAAGTCAAAAAAGTACCCCCATATGCTAAAAAGCCCTGCAATGATATTCACTTATGACTGGTTAGTTAGCTTTCCTATCCTTCAAAGTCATGTCTTTACAGGGTGAAACCCCATCTCTACTAAAAATACAAAAAAAAATTAGCCGGGTGTGGTGGCGGGCACCTGTAGTCCCAGCTACTCGGGAGGCTGAGGCAGGAGAATGACGTGAACCCAGGAGGTGGAGCTTGCAGTGAGCTGAGATCGCACCACGGCACTCCATCCTGGGTGACAGAGCGAGACTCCATCTCAAAAAAAAAAAAAAAAAAAAAGTCATGTCTTTGGCAATGGGTGGGGAAGAGACAAGGGTTTCTGGCAGACAGAATAATGGCTCCCTCAAAAATGTCCATGTCCTAATCCCCTGGACTTATGAATGTTACCTTACATGGCAAAAGCGACCTTGTGATTATGATTCTGACTTTGAGATGGAAGATAATCCTGGATCAGGAAGGGTCCAGGAAATCACAAGAGTCCTCAACATGGAAGAGGGAACCACAAGAGGAGGTCAGAGTGATGAGGTATGAGAAGGACTCAACAATCTACTGTTGCTGGCTTTGATAACAGAGGAAGGGGCCATGAGCCAAGGAATGCAGGCAGCCTCCAACACCTAGAAGAGGCATGGAAACAGATTCTCCTTTACAGCCTCCAGACAGAAATGCAGCTCTGTTTCAATTTTAGCCTAGTGAGACCCACAGTGGACTTCTAAACTAGAGAATTTTAAAATGACCAGTTTGCGCTTTCAGCCACTAATTTTTGGTAATTTGTTATGGCAACAATAGGAAACTAATACACGGGTGAACTGCTATAAAAATTCTCTAAAACGCACACAGATAAATCCTTAAAAGTGTAGTGTGATGCTCTATAAAATGCGCATCAAATACATTCATATTTAATTTGCATTACTAAGAAATATACCTGCTCCTCTAAAAAACTAACATTACACTTAAAATTACATTTTATAAAAAGATTGAATGTAAATACAATTAACTTTGATCAAAAAGTTAGGTTAGAAAACAAAATGGAACGAGCTATTTTCAACCAAACAAGAAGGTGATAAAAATTAAGTAGGAAAATTTGATAGTCCTCACAGGTAACATTTAAAAAGGAACCACCATAGTATCCATCTTAATAGCTCAGCCAGAGGCAAATCAGTATTTCTTTTAAAGTTCATATTTACCTGATGATCCTCTGGGCAGCATACTGATGGAGAGAACGAAACTGTGCCGACATATTTGCTAAAGCTGCCAAACAATTTGTGTGAAGGTACTTGTCCTGTGAGGAAACAGCGGGTGTAAAACATACAATCAAGTCTTCTCTATATTTTAACCAAGGTTAACTATTAATAGAAGCAAATGTAAACTCAGTTGTCACTGATTTTAGAAAGTTCAGATCCACTATCTCTTTTTTCTAATTCCTAAATCCATAAAGCACTGAAAATTCAAAGTTTTTTCCACAACACAAAAAATGATGATGTTCCTGACAGTCTTCATTATTCCCTCCATGGTGAATATTGAAATATTTTGCTACAGAAATATAACGTTTAATTACAGCATGCTACTTAAGGCCCTAATGGTTACACATAGTAGAGTATATAAACTATAATTATCTTTCTAAAATCCAAAAACTTCTGCTTTCTAAAACATAGCTGGCTCCTAGGGTTTCAGATAAAAAACATGAATGTGTATCTGCAATAGCCCCACGGAGGAAAATAACTGAAAATGGGCTGGGAGTAGGGGCTCACGCCTGTAATCCCAACACTTTGGGAGGCCAAAGTGGGAGGATCACTTCAGGACAAGAGTTCAAAACCAATTCAAGACCAGCCTGGGCAACATAGCGAGACTTTGGCTATTTAAAAAAAAAAAAAAATTAGTCAGGTGTAGTGGCACATGCCTGTGGTCCTAGCTGCTCAGGAGACTGAGGCAAGAGGATCACTTAAGCCCAGGGGTTGGAGGTTACAGTGAGCTATGATTGTGCCACTGCACTCCTGTGCAGCCTAGGCTGAAGGGCAGTGGCACAATCGTAGCTCAAAAAAAAAAAAATGCCATTTCTCTTAGCTATGAATTCTGTACACTGCTTCTCTTTAATAATACATTTCTATTAACCAGAACTGAAATTTGCTCCCAGGTACTGTGAAGAGAATCCAGCAGAAATTTTTCTTTTACTCTTTAAAATATTCTCTCTTCTACCTTTCTTTTTCATTTTAATTCATATTTTCTTGTGCTCATATCCTCTTGTACTTTGTTATTTGCTGCTATTAAAAAAGGCAAATCAGTGTTACTGGCCAAATAAAGACATACAATAGCTTTTATCTAAATGTTTTGCATTGCTTGTTTTCTATTTCATGTAAAATATCTCCAATCATACAAGCCATTAAATATTAAGACCTTATGTTACATTAGGATCATGTAATACAGTGACTATACAGTGACCGGTATTTTCTACCATATGTCACGAGAATTTTAGCATCCTAAAAATTGGGATTGCTTTAAACTATCGTCTTAATTGTACTGTATGCAAAAAAGATAGAATAGCAGCTGGAATACTTACTCGTGTCCTAGTCATGTTGTATTGAATGGTTCTTATTACCACCAGGATCAGGAGACTCCCCAAGGAGATTTCAGTTAAAACTCGTTCTGAATACCAAGTAATATTTTTTAGTATCTGTAATGGGGAAGAAAAGTTTAAGTAAAAAATGATTGCTTTACAGACAAAAGAATTACTCCATGTCCACAATTTTTGATAAACGATGACTTTGCTCTGAAGGTGAGTTAAGCAGCACAGACAGAGGCCACGCAAATGAGTCCAGATCTTCAAGGAGAGATGCTCCAGTGCTCTGCCATGGCTGTGGAGAGTAGGCAGCTCTGGCGCACACCTCCGGGCCTAAGTAAGCAAGAACTGTTTTCTAAGTTAAGACATTTCCACTGTAGATTTGTAACCTAGGGATCATAGACACACACACACACACACACACACACACACACACACACACAGAGACACACACACACACAGAGAGAGAGAGAGAGAGAGAGAGAGAGAGAGAGAGAGAGAGAGAGATAGGCAGGCAGGCCGGCAGACAGGTGCGAATACTGGGCAGCATAGCAGCCAAATCTGGGCTGCCCCAAAGAAAGAGGTAAAATGGGGGAAAAAACAAAAAAAAAAACAAACCAACAGGCTCAGCCGAGCACTAGAACTCCCTAATGTTCTCTTTCGTTAAGGTTACTCCTGCAACCTTTCTCCGTGACTCAAGGAGAGTCACTGTGCCACATTATTCTCTACCTATGCATGAAAAAGGAAGAGACTGCTGGGCTGATTCTTGCCCTCTCTCTTAAGAAGAGGCACACATCCACAGAGTACAGCAGACTCCCCACCACTCACAAATGCAGAGGGGGGAACCCACCACCTTGCAAAACAAGTTAGTTAGACTTGTGTTTATAACTACAGATGAATAACAAAACCACCAAGTGAAGACATTCAACCTAAGAAAGTGATAATGCTGAACCAAATCAAGACTCTCTTCTAATTACCAGTGCACATGAAATACAGAGGACAGAACACGTTAAATACCGTGATGATACATAATCAGCTAAAGACAAATTCGGGGAATCCTACTAAACAGATAACCCAGTTTCTTCAACAAATAAGGGGTAAAATAAGCTGGGATAGGGAGAGAGTGCTATAGATTTGTGAGTCTTAAGAACTAAATGCAGTAGACGTTGGAATCTGATTCAAACAAATCAACTCTAGAAGATATTTTAAAGATAACTGGAAATAATAAATTGTTAGGAAGAATTTAAACATTATTGTTGATTTTATTGAATGTACTAATGGTATGATATATTTTTTAAAGTCCATACTCACTGAAAGAACACACTAAAATGTTTACACATGAAATTATACGGAAGATTTGTTTTAAAAAATAGAAATCAAAACGTAAAAGGTGCTGAGGGTAAAGTGGGTAGATGAAATAAGAACAGCACAGTGTTAATAACGACTACATGAAGATCCATGCTACTATTTTCTCCAATTATGTTTAAGTTTCATAGTGTTCATAATAAAAACTTTATAAAGTAAATAAATAAATAATAAACTGTGAAACTGAACAGGGAGAGCAAACAGACCTCTAATTAAAGAGAGAGGATTTAGGAAGCTGGAATTTTTTAAAAAAATTCTGATTAGTATATCTAGTGAGATTTGACAGAATATTGCATCCATAAAATAAGAAGAGACTGCTATGAAAAGGGAAAATCACAGAACAAAAGCAAAGTCGCTTAAGATTATAAAAGTATCATGGCAGCTGGGCACAGTGGCTGATGTCTGTATTCCCAGCACTTTGGGAGTCCAAGGCCAGGAGTTCAAGACCAGCCTGGCCCAATGATGACTCTCTAAGAATACAAAAAATTAGCCGGGTGTAGTAGTGTACGCCTATATAGTCCCAGCTACTCTGGAGGCAGAGGCATGAGAATCGCTTGAAGCCAGGAGGCGAAGGTTGTAGTGAAACGAGATGTTGCCACTGCACTCCAGCCTGGGCGTAGCAGAGTGAGCACTATGGAAAATTAAATTTGTGATGTGAAGGACCAAACTGAGAAGTTCTCCACAGAAACTATAAGAGAAAAGTGCAGACGTCATAGCCACTTAAAAATTCCAGAAGAAATAAACTAGAAGAAAAACAGAACAATTAGTAATATGAGAAAATTTCTTTGAGAGGAAAAGAAAAACATTCAACATTCCAAGAAAAAAATCATGAAAAACAATCAAAACATTCTCGCAAGATTAATGAATTTGCAGTATATGAGAAAGTTCCATTGGCTTCCAGACAGAAGAACATGTTACCACCAACGGAAAAAGAAGCAGACTAATGTTAGAGTTCCCATCTTGAACACTACACATCTGAAGGACAGCAGAACAATGTCTCAAGATTTTTGAGGGAAGGCATTATGATTCTAGAATTCTGCATCTTGAGAAACTACCACATAAGCATGATGCAAAATAAACTCAGCATGAACCACCCATGTACCATCTCCGGGAGAAAAAAAAAAAACAAAACACCACAACACATGTAAGTATTTAGCTGC
Source organism: Homo sapiens (assembly GCF_000001405.40). Taxonomy (NCBI): domain Eukaryota; kingdom Metazoa; phylum Chordata; class Mammalia; order Primates; family Hominidae; genus Homo; species Homo sapiens. The sequence continues at coordinate 49,260,905 of NC_000018.10, forward strand.
CCCTCCTCAACACAGTAACAGCAGGACAAATCCAGAAGAATTCAAGAGAAGGAGAATATGGAATACAAACAACAACAAACACAACAGTCATCCATGAAATCAGGAAAACAGAATTAAATCTAAATAATATACTAAAAGAGGATTAAAATAGATCATTCTCTAGCAAGTCTAACAACAGCAAAAAAATTCCAAACAATATTAGGAATGAGAAGGGAGTACAGAAACAGATTAAAAGAATAAAAACACAAAGGAATACCACACTCAATTTCATGTCAATATGTTTGAAAGTACAAGTATATACAGGTGGCTTCCGTACACATATTTTCACTCGTTTAACTCTCTGGCCCCACATCACCCAGCATCCCCCATTACAAATAAGCCCACCCTGACTGCATTCTCCACTCAGAGGCTGGCATATAACAAATACTCACTACATGGTGGTTAAATATTATTTAGAATTGAAAAGTAAAAAATATAAAAGTTTGGCTGGGCATGGAGGCTCACGCCTGTAATCCCAGCACTTTGGGAGGCCAAGGTGGATGGATCACCTGAGGTCAGGAGTTTGAGACCAGCCTGGCCAACATGGTGAAACCCCGTCTCTACTAAAAATTAGCCAGGCGAGGTGGCGTGCACCTGTAATCCCAGCTACTTGGGAGGCTGAGGCAGGAGAATCGCTTGAACTAGGGAGGCAGAGGTTGCAGTGACTGCACTCCAGCCTGGACGACAGAGAAGACTCTCTCAAAAATAAATTCCATAAGTTATATATGATAGAGTATTATACAGTAACATTATATAATATCAACTCTTTTAAAAAAATTAAATATGTTTGGGAAAGTACAAAAAACAATTGACATCTATATGCCCACAATTCACATTACCAACTGTTAATATTTTTTAATATATATATCTCACTTTATTCCCCCATGGAGGAACAAACACTATCTTGAGTTTAGTGTGTATACTCTAGACCATTTCAATTACTTTATCTGCATATATACATATATGTACCTACATATATATGTAAAAAACCAAAAACCAGCATTCCTTTGTGTGTTTTCTAGTACACATAAATAGTACCATACATAATGTATTAGAATGAATGGTTTCCCCCCAAATCTATGTCATTCAAAACTTGTGAATGTGACCTTACATGGATAGAGGGTCTTTGAAATATAATCAAGATGAGACTGCATTAGATTAATGTGGACTCTAGGTCAGTATGACTGCTGGTGACTGTAAGATGAGGAAGACAGACACAGAGACAGACACCTCCTGAGAGAAGGATGTGATGACAGTAGCAGAGACTGGAGTGATGTAGATAGATGGCAAGCCAAGGGACACCAAGTATTGCCTGCGACCACCAGAAGCTAGGATGACACAAGAAAGGGTCTTCCCCTAGAGCCTTCAGAGAGAGCATGGCCCCGCTGACACCTTGACTTTGGACTTTCAGGCTACAGAAGACAATAAATTTCTATTGTTAGGAGTCACCTAGCTGTGGTACTCAGACAACTCTAGAAGACACTAAGTATCTTTCATTTATATCAGCAGTACTCAGTAACTGTGGTGGTCAGTTACAGTAGCTCTAAGAAACTAACACACATCTGGTTTGTTCGCATCTTACTTTTTTCACTCAGCATGTTTCTGTAACCCTCCTATATTGATACATATAAGAAGAATATTCACCAGGTATGCCTGTCTGATAGTACTAGTTCTTTTTTTAAAATGGAATACTCAATACTAGTTAGTAAATAGCTTTTGTTGTAAGCCACTCCCCCAGGTAATATACAGCAGAGAACAAAGAACTGTGGTCCACATCCATTCTTACTGGCTGGTGTTGGTGCCATACATACTACTTAAGTCATTTGAATGTCACCTCTATATCCAAGTCTACTTCATTCCTTGTAACCACTCTAGAGTACTATATTAGCAGGCTACATTTTAAAAAAAATCCATTCCTCTATTAATGGAAATTTAGGCTATTTACAGTTGTTTTCCTATTTAAAACAATGTTACAATTCAGATCACTATCCTAAATCTCACTACATGAAAGTCAGAAAAAAAGAAAGAATTCCTGACTCTCCATATTCTTACTATCCAGACTTTTACCTCAGTTCAGGAATCACACAGATTTTGAAAACAAAAATACCTGCACATGACTTCATAAGTACATCTGCGAGAATTTACTAGGAAGCAGAATTGCCAAATCATTGAATATCTTCTTTTTTTTTTTTGAGTTGGAGCCTCACTCTTATCATCCAGGCTGGAGTGCAATGGCACGATCTCGGCTCACTGCAACCTCCGCCTCCTGGGTTCAAGTAATTCTCCTGCCTCGGCCTCCTGAGTAGCTGGGATTACAGGCACCCACCAGCACACTCGGCTAATTTTTGTATTTTTAGTAGAGATGGGGTTTCCCCATGTTCGCCAGGCTAGTCTCAAACTCCTGACCTCACGTGATCTGCCCACCTCAGCCTCCCAAAGTGCTGGGATTACAGGCGTGAGCCACCACGCCTGGCTTGAATATCTTCTTTTAAAAATAAATGTATAGGCTGGGCGTGGTGGCTCATGCCTGTAATCCCAGCACTTTGGGAGGCTGAGGTGGGTGGATCACGAGGTCAGGAGTTCAAGACCAGCCTGGCCAAGATGGTGAAACCCTGTCTCTACTAAAAATAAAAAAAACTAACCAGGCTTGGTGGCAGGCACTTGTAATCCCAGCTACTCCAGAGGCAGAGGCAGAGAATTGCTTGAACCTGGGAGGTGGAGGTTGCACCAAGCCAAGATCGTGCCACTGCACTCCAGCGTGGGCAACAGAGTGAGATTCTGTCTCAAAAAAGAAAAAAAAAGTAGTTACTATTAACTGTGTTAACACACTAAAAAGCACAGAGCAGCAGTGTCCAACACAGTGGCACTAGCCACAAGTGGATATTTAAATTAAAATTTAATAAAAGTAAAATAGATTCCTCAGCCATACTAGCTACATTTCAGGTGTGAGCATACTTACAGTGCAGTCATAGAAGACTTCTATGAGGATAGAAAGTTTGATTGATTAGCCTGGTATAGAGACCACCACTGTATCCATCACCTAGATTTATTAAATGTTAGTATTCTTGCTTCTAAAGTACCTGAAGCCTCCTCATTGTTCTACACTGATAACCTGCCTCCCCAGAGGCAGCCACTATCCTGAAATTGGATGGGCGTTGTTTTTTTTTTTTTTTTGAGTTTTATTATCAATACACGTAGCTCTACGCATTCATTCTAGCTGCTTTACAATATTTCATTTACGTAATCTGCTCTCCCATTAATGGAGCTGTATTCAATTTCTGAATACAACTAACAATGCTACAGTGAAAATTCTTTCAAATATGTTCTCATGAGAACATATTTGAAGAAGTTCTCCCTAAAACGTAAACCCTGAAATGGAACTTCTGAGAGGTGGAGTATTTATTTCTGTATACAATTTGAGGAATTTGAGAGGACAAATTCCTCTCTAAAGTGGTTCTACCAATTTATACTCCCACTACCAGCATATGAGAGTCCTTTTTCTCTATATCCTCACCAATTCTTTTTTCTTTCATCAACCCCATAGTAATAAAAACATCACCAACTCTTGATATATCAGATTTTGTCACTTTTGCTACTCTGATAGGCACAGAATATTTCAGTTGCTTTAATTGGCATGATCCTGATGAAGCATCGGGTTGAACGATGATTACTGTTCCGGGTCTCTATTCTGTTTTTCTATTACTTTGCCCATTTTTCTATCGAATACTTTGTGTTACGTATAAGCACATCTACATCTGACAAGAAGAGGGCTAGGAAAGAGAAAGAAATATCAAAAGGAATAAATGTGTCACATCTCTAGACATGGTAATAGGTAGAAATTGTGAAATCACAATTTTAAAGTTTTGCCTTAGAAGAGTAGTACATTGAACAAATAGACTAGAGCCCAAACTTAATATCCTCAAAGTCTACCATACCTCTATAATCTGGAGAACAGAATAAAAGCACATGACTTACCTGGCAAGTTAAAACTAGGAGCTATACTACAAAAGTGACTGTGTCTTAAAATTCATTTAACCGTTACCACAGGTATGAGAGGTGGTTCATGCTCATTAAATGCTTACCAAATTAGTAATACCAAATATACTAGTCTCAAGCCTATGTGGGAGTGGACAAAGTATATACAGTCCTTTAAACAATCTCACTAAACAATATATGTGCTATAAATCGCAGGCTGTCCCATGGTAACATGTGGTAAAAAAAATGCTTCTATGAGCCCAAGCCCACAGTCATAGGTGTACTGGGGTCAATGATGGATGATAAAGGAGAAAACCCGAGAGCAGGCTCAAGAAGTACATGTGTGACTGAATCCTGCCTTACCTGGCAGCAGCCCCTTGGAAAAATTGACAAAATCCTGAAAATTCTGATGAAAATCCCCAAATCTAGAGAGAGAAACAAGTTTGGTAGGTTTATTTATTTGTTTCTTCTTCTGACTAAATAGTGGAAGGAGGTGTGGGAGAGAAAATGAGAACCTTCAGACAGTTTCAAATATGAGAAGGTGAATAAAATATGCCACAGAAATATTCTGTGAAGAAGGCCAGGCACAGTGGCTCACGCCTGTAATCCCAGCACTTTGGGAGGCTGAGGCCAGTGAATCACCTGAGGTCGCGAGTTCGAGACTAGCCTGACCAACATGGAGAAACCCTGTCTCTACTTAAAATACAAAATTAGCCGGGTGTGGTGGCGGGCGCCTGTAATCCCAGCTACTCGGGAGGCTGAGGCAGGAGAATCGCTTGAACTTGGGAGGCAGAGGTTGTGGTGAGCCGAGATTGCGCCATTGCACTCCAGCCTGGGCAACAGGAGCAAAACTCCATCTCAAAAAAAAAAAAAAAAAGAAATATTCTGTGAAGAAAATACTGAAAACAAAAGCCAGATATATAGAAGATGATGAATAAAAATAACAAACTCAGGGATACAGAAACTAAACTATGGTAAAAGGGCTGATGGTAGACAACACATCCAATGAAACCAGTATTAGGCAATTTTGGCAATTTGAGTTACAAAACAGAATGGAAATGTTATAAGTTTTGAATAATCTAAAAAAAATAATTAGCCAGGTGTGGTGGTACTTGCTTGTAATCCCAGCTACTTGGGAGGCTGAGGCACGAGAATTGCGTAAAACAGAGTGAGACTCTGTCTCAAAAAAATTTTTACAAAATTAAATAATTAAACTAACAAAAAATTGGAAGAAAGAGATGAAAAGAAGTGTGGAATTAATAATGTTCTCATGCTTCTCACTAAGAAATACACTGGTTCTCTCTACAGCTGCAACATGGATTTAAAATAACTAAACAATGATTCTAACATCTTAGCTTTCCAAAATCTCTTTTCTTCACCATATAATAATATTAAAAAATATATTGCATAATGAAGGTCTGGTATGGTGGCTCACACCTGTAATCACAGCACTTTGGGAGGCTGAGATAGGCAAATCATTTGAGACCAGGAGTTTGAGACCAGCCTGGGCAACATGGCGAAACCCATCTCCACAGAACAAAAATTAGCTGGGCATGGTGGCATGCACCTGCAGTCCCAGCTACTCAGGAAGCTGAGGTAGGAGGATCACCTGAGACCAGGAAGTCAAGGCTACAGTGAGCAGCGATTGTGCCACTGCACTCCAGCATGGGTGGCAAGAGTGAGACCCTGTCTCAACTTAAATAAAAAGAAGAAAATTTTCTGAAAATGATGTTCACCTAATGTTAATAGTTCTAATTCTAGTTAATGAATGAGTATGATCATTTACACTAAAACAGTAGAATAATTTGTCTTACGTCAAGGTATTCACATCTTAGGTGGTAGTGATAAAGTTTGACTTTAATGTATTTTCAAATTCTTAAAAATAATTACTGTTAAATACATTTTTTTCTTTCTAGCATTACTCTCCTGTGCTGCCTATTGTCCAAAGTCTGAAAACCATTTTCATATATTTTGCTTACAGTGGAAAAGCAGAAGGATGTAAAATCAAAGGTCTAAGCTTCTACCTTAAGAAACGTTGGGGAAAAAAAAGGCAAATTGAGGCTCAAGTAAGCAGGAGAAAAGAAATAATAAAGAGCACAAATAATTAAAATAGAAAACAAAAAATGGAGGAAAAACAATCAATAGACTCAAAAGCTAGTTCTTTAAAGTTTTAACTTTTTTAAAAAGTTAGAAAGATAAAGAAGAGAATAGACACATTATCAGCATGAAGAATGAAGGGTAATCTCTCTATGGCTAGTACAGACATTAAAAGGTAACTTTTTAAAAAAAAAAAAGAAGAGGTAATAAGAGTATATTATGAACAATTTTATTGTAATAGATTCTTTACCTTAAAAGAAATGTACAAATTCCTCAGAAAACACAAAGTTCAAAACTCAACCATACTGTATATGAAAATACATTTAAAAACATATCATGTCCAAGTGCACTTTACCCCAGGATGCAAAGTTGATTTAATATTCAATAAATAATCACTATAATTCTCAATAACCAGTATAATTCACATTAACAAACTAGAATATAAAAAAGCAAAAGATCCAGAATAAAAAATTCTTACATCTCAATAATAAGATAAGCCAAGTTTTTAAAAGGGGGTATGGCTATTCAAGAGCAAGATGAGCGATATAATTCTGTGGTGATAGAAATATTCTATACCTTAAAAAGTATCAATGTCAGGCTGTGCATGGTGGCTCACACCTGTAATCTTGGCACTTTGGGAGGCCAAGGCGGCTGGATCACTCGAGGTCAGGAGTTCAAGACCAGCCTGGCCAACATGGTGAAACATTCCTATCTCTAATAAAAAATACAAAAATTAGCCAGGCCTGGTGGCGTGTGCCTGTAGTCCCAGCTACTCGGGAGGCTGAGGCATGAGAATCACTTGAACCCACGAGGCGGAGGTTGCAGTGAGCTGGATCCTGCCACTGCACTCTGGCCTGGGAGACAAAGCGAGACTGTGTCTCAAACAAACAAACAAACAAACAAACAAAAGTATCAAATATCTTGACTGTGATATTGAACTACAGTTTTACAACTACAGTTGCCATTGGGGAAAACTGTATTAAGGGTATATGAGGTCTCTCTTACTTTTCTTAAAACTGCATGTGAATCTACAATTATTTCAAAATAAAAAAGATAATTTAAAAAATGGCAAAAAGATATATATGCACACAAAAAGCACATTAAAAATAAATTCTCTGTATCATTGGGTATTAAGAAATGCAAATTCAAATCAAAATGAGATAACAATATATATATCATAGGCAATTAGGTTCACACTAATGATTCCATGTAGAGAAACTTGGTAAAACATTTGAATTTACTCTTTTCTACTATTACATATGGAAAGGGAAGGGACCAAAATAAATCGAGATCAACAAGAAAGTCAGATTCTAGAGAAAAAGAACAAGTGTTTCAATATTTGAATTTGAAATGTCATCTAAAATATCCTGAAATCCAATGGAACTGAACTCAATGTGAACTGAACTTTCCCTATCTTACCAACCCTGTTTTGGCAGTCAGCGAAGTTTAATTTTAATGCAAAATTCTCTGCTAACTTGAAAGTGTTTTAATTATAGAATGAGGATACAGAAAAGTATAGAAAATAGCACAATAAAAAGTATAACCACATATGAATTATGCCAAAAACTAACATTTTGTCATGTTTGCTTCAAAGTTTTTTGTGTGGTTACAGTTACTTTTTCTTGTTCTGATTATTTTGTTATTGCTGCTGCTGAAGCAAATAATTATCTGGGTGGTAATGACACAAATATAGAATGTAATTTTCATTAGTTTTCCTTTAAAATTTGTGTGTTTTATATGCATGTTATACTTCAATTTTAAGATGTTTTTAAAAATCATATTTGTTTTTAATTCCTTATTAAAAGAAAAGTCATGTTTAAAAAGTTGATTACATCAGTGAAAATATTACTTCTCATAGTATTTTACTGAAAACAAGAACCAAGAAATTTCTATGTTCACATCAAAAGGTCAAGCTACAAAAGCAAAAATAAATTAATGGGGCTATATTAAACTAAAAAGCTTCTACACACCAAAGGAAATAATCAACAAAATGAAAAAGCAGCCTCTGAATTGATATAAAATATTTTCAAACCATATATCTGATAAAGGGCTAGTATCTAAAATATATAAAGAACTCACACAACTCAATAACAGAAAAACAATCCCATTAAAAAATGGGCAAAGGACCTGAATAGACATTTCTCCAAAAGAGACATAAATATGGTCAACAAGTATATGAAAATGTGCTCAAAATCACATTTTGAGCTCAAAATTTCCCTGATAATTAATCAGGGAAATGCAAATCAAAACCATCACACCAGTGTGGATAGTCATTATGAAAAAGACAAGAGATAACAAGTACGGGAGGGGATGCAGGAAACAGAACCCTTACACACTGTTGGTGGAAATGTAGATTGGAGCCACCAAGGTGAGAAACAGTATATAGATTCTTAAAGAAATTAAAAATAGAACTAGTGTATCATCTCACAATTCCTCTTCTGGGCATAAGGAAAATGAAATCACCACCTATAAAGATAGCTGCACTCCCACATTCACTGCAGCACTATTCAGAATAGCCAAGACAGACACAGCCAGAGAGTCCGTCGACAGACAAATGGATAAAGAAAATGTAATACATACAGTCATTTGCCACATAACAATGTTTTGGTCAATGCCAGACAGCATATACAAAGAAGGTCCCAGATGATTATTACAAAATTCCTATCACCTAGATGTTGTAGCCATTGTAGCACAACACATTATTCATGTGTTTGTGGTGACTTTATAAAGTAAAAAAGTTCCAGTAAGCTAAGGGTAATTGATTATTAAAGAAAAATATTTTTATAAATTTAGTGTAGCCTAAGTGTCTAGTGTTTATAAAGTCTACGATAGCATACAGTAATGTCTTGGTCCTTCACATTTACTCACCACTCACTCATTGATTCAGTCAGTGCCACTTCCAGTCCTGCAAGTTCCATTCATGGTACCCTATACAGGTGTGCCTTTTAAAATCTTTTATACTGTATTTTTATGGTAGCTTTTCTATGTTTAGATAAACAAATACTTACCATTGTGTTACAACTGCTTACAGTATACAGTAACAACGCTGTACTGGTTTGTGGCCAGCAGCAACAGGCTATACCTCACAGCCTAGGCGTGTAGTAGGCTACACTATCTTGGCTGTGTAAGCACACTCTACGATGTTCACAGAATGATAAAATCGCCTAAGGACACATTTCTCACAATGCTTCCCAATTGTTAAGTAGTGCATGGTTGTATAAACAAAGGAATATTATTCAGCCTTAAAAAAGAAGACCCTGACATTTGGCACAACATAGGTAAACCTAGAGGAGATTATTCTAAGTGAAATAAACCAGAGAAAGAAAAATACTTCATGATCTCACATATATGTGGATTATCTTTTTAAAAAGTCAAATACACAGATAGAGGATATTACAATGGGTACCAGGGGGTGGATGTGAGAAAATGAGGAGATATAGGTCAAAGTTACAGGTATATGGCATGAAGTCTAGAGATCTAATGTATAATATGAGGACTATAGTTAATGATACTGTATTGTATTCAGGATTTTTGCCAAAGGAGAGTATCATTGCTCTTGCCACAAAAAATAAAGGAGGTAACTATGTGAGATGATGGATATGCTAATTTACCTGACTATAGTAGCCATTTCTCTATGTACATGTATTAATATATCAAAACATCAAGTTGTATAACTTAAATATACACACAAAAAATAAATTTGTATGTTTTATACTCCTTCCACAATGGTCAAGATTCCTTAAATCTTAGTTGAAATTATGGTCATACTATGTAAGAGGCAAAAACATGACTTAAGGGAACATTAGAGAGGAGTAAATATAATATAAAAGCCCTACTGAAAATGAGGAGAAAACAAAGTGTCTGTACCCTTATAAAGAGTGAAAGCCCTGCCCCCTTCTCCTATAGAACCCCTAGCAAGGAGACTGGAAGAATCAAAAACAATCCACCCAAAAAATGGCCTGCAGGGACACAGTCCCAGAGAAAGAGACTATGTACAACAAGGTACAGTAAGTAAGACCTGCCCACACACAGGACTTCCAATCGACTTCTTAGTGCTTACTCCTACAGATGAACAGATCAACCAGGGCCACCAGATGCTCCAGGAAAGACAGGAGTCCAAAAAGAAAATTCGGTAAGTTTGAATATATTTTGAGCAAATTTTCAGTTCTGTTGAAGTATTGGGGGTAGAATCAGTGTATTAGTACACAAATAAAAAACAGGGCAATGATGTGCTACAGAAATGGTAAAACATGTTCAAGAAAGGAAACGCAATTATCCTACAGTACACAGCTGAACTAAAAATAACATCAAAAATAATAATGTAAAAGCTGAGTTAACCAAAAATGGTAATAAGATGGAAAAAGGAAAAAGTCTGTGTGCCGACAAGCGTGCTGGGAACCCAGAGGGAACACTTGTGGAATGCAGGAAGAACCAATGACTATCTTCCATCTTAGGGCGATAATAGTTAATGTCTGCAACTGAAAAATCAAGAAATCACAATATAAGTATGTTACTTCGAAACATGGACAGAACTGAAAGCATTTGCCTTACAGGAGTGGGAATCAGAAATAGGGTGAACATGGGTCTGTTATTTTTCATTAAAACCTTGTACTTCTATACAAGTTTTAAAACTACATATGTGTATTACTTTGATGCAAAAAATAAAATAAAAAAATGCCAAAGAGAAACATAAGACCAGTTTGGGAATAAAACTCTCCAACAGGACCAAAATTTAAAAAGTTAAATTATGTTATGTTCTTTAAAAATATATATATAAAACAATGGATTTCTCAAACTTCTTCCATTTTGGTCCCTTTTTCTTCTCTAATTCTGTATGCATGAAGCAAACCTGTTTGACAATTTCTGCCACAATGAAAAAGTGGAAATGAAATGCTGAAGAAAAATGAACCCAGTAGCAGCAAAAGCATTTGTATCAATTACCAAAGAACCATTTTGAGAGAGTTTTTAATAGTGGTTAATAGTCATTCTGGAAAAAAAAAAAAAAAAAGCACCGCTTCATAAATCTGAAGAAAGACATAACATTTCTAATACAGGTTCTCACAGGAACATCTACCAGAAAGAAATGTAAAGACTAGTAAATCTTACGTAGGGACATGTCTGTTCTGTTAACTCTAACTCTAATCCAAGTAATGGTAACTTACCACTTCATGAATGGATCTGTTGAAGCCATCATCTTCCGTAAGGATCAACAATATTATAAGGGCCATATACACATGGTGTGAATTCCTTTCTTCAACATGATACAGAATCTCAAGAATTGGTAAAACCTAGAGAATAAAAATTATAATTGACTATTTCAATACTTCATTATAAATCCAAATGTTTTAAATCTTTACACTTTCATTTTGTGCTCTTTGCTTTAATATCAGTTATATTTTTCATTAGAGAAAAAACCATATAAACCCACTTCTGACTGAATGTATTTTCCAAATGTATAGCTAAGATGCCAGTGGAGAAAATCACCACTAACTCTGTGAAGGTCTCTTAAGGTCTAACCAACATAAAGGTTGGATCTGCAAGGACCATTTAGGCTCGTTGTTTGTTTTGAAGATTTTAAGAAGTCACATTGCCTTCTCCCAACTTAACCAAAAAGTGGGAGTAGCGGGGAGAGCACAGCTGCTCAGAAGTTAACTTTTTAATTTATGTGCTTAGCACCACCTTTTTAAAGCTAGTAAGTAAAAAATATATTTCAAGAAATATATTTTAAATAAATATGTAATTAGACTCTTGGAACCCAAGGTGCATTTTCTCAACATGTGTATTAAGATCTGCTCTTCAGTATATCTATCAAACATTTCATTTCATAATGCTGTTTACCATTGTGCTTATTTCAAATCATTGACACCTTCAATTTGTTCCTTCTTCACTAAAGTAAGGAGGTTACTGAAATTATTTATTAAAGATGGGCAGACTATCTACATAGCATGTCTTGTTGGAAACAACCATGAACACTATCCACTGAATGCTAGAAAACAGGCAAAAAAAAAAATCTATCATCTAAATCAGACAACACATGTAATGAGCAAATTGTTTACACATACAAGTCCTTAAAGCACAGGCTGGTATGCAAAGCCCACCAAAACAAGCTGGTATGCCTGGGGCATACGTGTTTTGACAGGCACACCTATTGCAGGAAGCTTTTAAAATGTGGCACTGGTATGTTTTGTTCTTTTACAAGTTGTAGCTAAAACTTCCTCTAAATTATGAAGTTCAGTGCATGAGCACTATTAACTTCCAGGAACGAAGTATACCAGTTACCAAGCAGTCATTGCTCTGTCTCTTTTCCCAGGCATTCTTGTCTTCGGAGTTCCTTCTGACATTTTGTCAAACATAATACATTGTACTCACATTCCACATTACCTAGTAAGCATAGTTACATTTTTTAGTCATTTAACTCAACATTTGTTAATTCTGATTCTGGAGTTTTCAATATGCCACATAACATTTCCATTAACAACAGACCACATATATAACAGTCTGTGGTTGTATTGTCTCATAAGATTACAACATCATATTTTTACTGTACCCTTTCTATGTTTAGATACACAAACGCCATTGTGTTACAAGTGCCTGCAGTATTTAGTACGGTAACATGATGTACAGGTTTATGGCCTAGGAGCCATAGGCTACACCATAAAGCTTAGGTGTGTAGTTAGGCTCTACGATCTAGGTTTGTGTAAGTACATGCTATGATATTTGCACAATGACAAAATCACCTAATAAAACATTTCTCAGAACGCCTCCCCACATTAAGCAACATGTGACTGTATATTTTATGCCTTTTTTTTTTTTTTTGGCTACGCCTGTAGAAAGCACATCTTACCTATAGTACATAATACCAATAGAGTACTGAAAATATTGACAAGACACACAAGCAAATGGTATATTCAAAGAAATAATAATGTAAGAGTAAGTAACGGGTCCAATGAGACTATGTCAGAATAGTACTTCATTCTTTTAAATATTTGTATTCAGATACAATTTACAGACCATACAATCCATTCAAAGTGCACAATTCAATGGTTTACCATATACTCAGAAATATGTGTAACCATCACCACAGGCAACTTGAAAAATTTCATTATCTCAAAAACAAACCCCATACCCTTTAACTATCACCTCCCCCAGACCCCTATCTACCCTGCCCAAAGGAACCACTTTCTGTCTCTATAATTTCCCTATTCTGGACTTCCGTATGAATAGAATCATACACTACGTAGATTTTTGTGACTTTCTTTCACTGAACATGTTACCAAAGTTCATCCATGCTGCAGTATGTATCAGGATCTCATTCCTTTTTATGTCAAATAATATCTCATTGCATAAACATACCACATTTCATTTATCCATTCTTCTGTTGACTAGCATTTGAACTGTTTCCACTTTTTTGCTATTATGAACAATGCTTCTATAAACATTCATTTACAAGTTTTCCTGCAGACATATACTCATTTCTCTTGGGTATATATCTAGCCTTGGAATTGCTGGATCATATGGTAACTGTTTCATTGTTTCAGGAACTACCAGACTGTTTCAAAGCCATTGCATCATATTACATTTCCACCAACAGTGTATGAGAGATTAGATTTCTCCACATCCTCACTTCTTATTATCTAACATTTTATTCTAGGCATCACAGTGGGAGTAAAGTGGTATTTCGCTGTGATTTTGATTTACACTTACCTGATGACTAATAATGTCAAGTTGTTTTTTTCATGGGTGTATTACTAGCTATTTGTATATCTTCCTTGCAGAAATGTTTACTCAGATCTTTCATCCATTTTTTAATTGGGTTGTCCTTCTACTATTGGGTTTAAAAAGTTCTTTACATACTATAGATACAGTTCCTTACCAGAAAAGTGATTTGCAAATATCTTCTCACATTTTGTGGGCTGTTTTTTCACTTTCTTGATGGTCCTTTGAAGCACAAACGTTTTTATTTTGATGCAGTTCAATTTACCTGTTTTTTCTTTCATTGCTCATGCTTTTGTTGTTATATCTAACAGTCATTTGCCAAATTCAAGGTCATGAAGATTTACCCCCATTTCTTCTAAGAGGTTTATAGTTTTAGCTCTTTTTAGGTCTTTGACCCATTTTGAATTAACTTTGTATATGGGGTGAAGCAAAAGCCCAACTTTATTCCTTTGCAAGTGACTACACAGTGGCACCAGTACCATTTGTTGAAAAAACCTATTCTTTCCACATTGGTCTTGGCACCCTGGCTAAAAATCAGTTGATGATAGGTATATGGGTTTATTTCTAGACTCTCAATTCAACTCCATTGATGTATTATGTCTATCCTTGTGCCAGTACCACACTGTATTGATTAGTGTTGCTTTATAGTAAGTTTTGAAATTAGAAAGTATGAGTCCTCCAAATTTGTTCTTTTTCAGGATTGTTTTGGCTATTCTTGGACCTTTGTAATTTTACATGAATTTTTTAATCATCTTGTCAATCTCTATAAAGAAGTCAACTAGGATTCTAATAGGTATTGTGCTCAATGTGTATGTCAGTCTGGGGAATACTGCCATCTTAACAATGTGAAGTACTGTGATCAGGGCTGGGTATGGTGGCTCATGCCTGTAATCCCAGCACTTTAGGAGGCCAATGTGGGAGGATTGCTTGAGGCCAGAAGTTTAAGACCAGCCTGGGCAACATAGCAAGACCCTATCTCTATCTCTATTTTTTTTATGTTGCAATCAATGAATATGTGTTTCCCCATTTCTTTCAATAATATTTTGTAGTTTTCACAGTGTAAGTTTTGTACTTCTTTTGTTAAATTTCTGATGCTATTATGAACAGAACTATTTTCTTAACTTCATTTTGGGATTTCTCATATATAAAAATACTATTTTTTGCATATTGACTTTTTATACTGATCCAGTATCCTGCAACTTTGCTGAACTCATCTATTAATTCTAAGAGTTTTTTAGTGGATTCCTTAGGATTATCTATATATAAGATAATGTCATCTGCAAATACAGATAATTTTACACCTTGCTTTCCAATCTAGATATGTTTAATTTCTTTCTCTTAATCAAATGCCCAGGCTAGAATCTCCAGTAAAATGTTGAATGAAATGGCAAAAGCAGACATCCTTGTTTTGTGGCTGATCTCGGGGAGAAAGAAAACAGTGTTTTACCATTAAATATGATGTGAGCTGTGGGGTTTTCATAGAAGCCCTTTACTCATCTAAGGAAGTTCCCTTCTATTCCTAGTTTGTTAAATATTTTTATTTCATAAAAAAGTGATTACTTTGTCAAATGCTTTTTTCTGTATCTATTTAAATAATCATATGATTTTTGTTTTTTGCTCTGTTGATATGATGTATCACAATAACTGACTTTCAGATGTCCAATCAAGCTTACATTTCTGGGATAAATCCCACTTGGATATGGTATATAATTACTTTTATAATAGCACTTTAATTCTGAAAGAACTATCTAAACTGAGATCTGAAAAACTACTAGGAGTTATCTGAGAAGAGGAAAAAGGAGAAAATTTCAAGGAGAAGTATTCTAGAGAGAAAAACCAAGTCTAAAGTTAGGAGATAGGTCAGATTGAGAGACATTAAATTAATTCATTATGATTAAATAAAGAATAAAAAGAACATAATGGCAAAGAGATGAGACCCAAAATGGAAGCTGTGGCAAAATTATAAAGTGTCTTGTTAGCCACGTTAAGAGTAAGAGCTTTAACCTGAGGGCACTGTGGAGACATGAAAGGGCTTTAAAAGTAGGGAAGTGACATGATCAGATTTGACTCTAATATACTCACTCTGGAAACAGGATAAAAAATATTAAAGAATAGCAAGTCAGAAAGCAGGAAAACCAGTTAAAGATGTTGCAATAATTTTAGTAAGAGATGAAGGCAGCTTAGACCAAAGGAATCGCAATGAGGAAAAAGAACACTAATACATTCCAAAGATAATAAGGAGAGAAAATAAAAAATATTTGGTTGGATATGGGGGAATGAGACAGAGGAGTCAAAGCTTTTGCCAACTCTATGGATGGCTCCCTGTGACAGAGAATACAGGAGTAAGAGAAGGAAGAGCAGGGAAAATAATGAACCCAATTTTTACATGTTTGGTTTAAGGTGTCTATGAGACGGCCACTGGGAAATGTCTGGGGCAGCTGGATACATGGATATGAGATACAGGTAATCAGGACTGCAAATACAGAACTGAACATATATGGCACATATAAATGGGAACATATACACTGGCAACATATAAATGGCAACTGAATTTGCTTAGATGTTTTAGGGAGAAGTACAGGGAAAAAACAAAAAGGACAGAATCCTGCAGCAGGACACATTTAAGGACAAGGAAAAATAACACATAAAAGAGAGAGAAAAGCAGTAGGCATAGAGGTGGAAAAACCAGCAGAGTACAATGATTGGAAAGCCAAGGTATATGTTTGTAGATATACGAACTGCACGTTTGGGCCCCCAAAATTAGTATGTTAAAACCCTAACCCACAATGGGACACTATTAAGAGGTGGGGCCCTTGGGAGGAGATTAGGTAACAGGGGTGGAGCCCTCATGACGGGATTAGTACCCTTATAAGAGATAGGAGACAGCTTGCTTCTTCTCTGCCTCTGCTCACTGCCATGTGAGAACACAGCAAGTATATGACTATTGACAAACCAGTAAGCAGGTCTGCACCAGACTCCAAGGGGGCTGACATCTCTATCTTAGAAATCCCAGCCTACAGAACTACGAGAAATAACTTTCTGTTGTTTAAGCACCAGTCTATGGTATGTTTGTTAAAGCAGTCAGGCCAGACTAAATTCTGAACTGACTAAGCCAGAACTGACTAAGACATAGGTATTTGGCGGTTTAAAGAATAAAGAGATGAACAGTGTCATGCAGCAATGCAGTCAAATAAGAAAATTATGAAACATGCCCAGAGATTTACTAATAATCAGGAGCTGCTGATGAGGAAGTTGTAGGAACAGATGTTAGATCACAACAGGTAGAAAAGTGCATAAGAAGTAAAGGCAAAGAATGTAGCTTTCAAGAAACTTAGCATGAAAACAAAAGAGCTAAAAAAAAATTTTCCTTTTTGATGTTTATATAAAAACCACATTCAGAAAATAAAGGACTATTAGTCCATCTAAAACAAGATATAAAGATCCTATGTCATTTCTTTTATAATTAATGATAAATCATAGACTGCATATCACTGTAAATATTAATCTCATTTTCTAAGTGTCTCTTCAGTGAAGTTTCAAATGAGTACGATATCAAAATGACAGGGGTTGCATATCTGCGATATTGTGCAGGCTCAAGGCTTGACCCAAAAGCAGAAGACTGCTGGAGGCCTAAGGGAAATACCAGCCGAATCTCTGTTGGACTAATACAAACAGAAATTAAAAGAGTGACTAACTCACAATGCCCTGATTAAGAAAGTTACAAGCAATATAGTGTTGAAGTGACTATATATTATTTGTCCAAGATCCCTTCCTTAAGGAACTTCCCTTTACCTTTGTGGCTATGGTGGCTTAGCATTAAGTGTGCCTCCTCCCATAGTCATTGGTCAAATAAGTGGATACACAACCCAAGAAGAGACTATTGGAGCCCTTCATGAAATATTTCTGAAGTAGCTGTGTTTCCTCCTTTTAGCTTATGATATGTTGAGAGCTGCTGGTGGCCACCTGCCTCCCCACTTGGAAAGTGTGTGCCTGAGAATAAGGCCAAAGCTATAAAAGGCAGAGGCAAAAGATGGAGAGGCCAAGCCTGGATAACATCATTCAGCCCCTAGAACCAGCTATGACTGAAGCCAAAAAAAAAGCACAAATTTTTCATTTGTACAGATATATTTCTTTTCTCTTATGCTAGGCATAAGCAATGGGTCTGTTACAACTAAAAGAATCATGACCATCTCAAATGTCTAGCTGCTTTTCTTGGTAAACATTTAATTGTGATAAAATATAAAAATTGTGTTCATGTCCCTAATGGGTTTTTCTAAAAAGTATGCCCTCTTATGCCCTGTTCTTAATATTTAGGCACTTGGATTCGCCCTAGACACTATTCAGAGACACAAAAAGAAAATGTAAGAGTCACTGTATTGTTATTCTAATAGATACCAACTAAAAATGTACTATAAGAAGTTATACCAGATTAATTAACTTGTTTTGAGTTAAAACAAGTCAAACAGTAGTGAGTCAGACCATCAATAGAAAGAATCCAAGTTAGCCAACACCTGTCGCTGAATACAGGCAGGTCTGCCTCCAGCCTTATGGGATTTACACACAATAAGGTATTTCTTAGAAACACTGTAATCTGTTAAACATTACCTTCTTAATGTCAAAGACTGCAGAATAAAAGAATTGATAACTACAACAAAATCAGATCAGCACAGTAAATTTCCTACTGATAACATATTTTCTAATCAGAGCCTCAACATATTTATTATAGAAGAAAGGTAAAAGGACAGATGGAGCATAAATTAAGAAATTATCCAACAAAACCAGAACAAATAAACAAACACCACCCTCCAAAAAAACTACAACACAAAACCTTTTAACCTTTCACCGGGTATGTCATCAAACGCAGACAGCTGCTCTCTGCACCATCTTATATACCTGCATCCTTACCATACAACTTTCTGAAACAGGTGATGTCACAGGTTTCCTGCTTATTGCCAACGTTTCCCTTAGAATACAACATACTCAGAATTGTCTCTATGCCTATCCACACCCATCAGGAAACAAGCCTTCTCTTTATAGGATTTTACTCATATAAGCAGCATACTTTCATACTCAATTTGCTATTTAAGCAGTGTTTCCCACCTAGACCTGATGTGGAGACACTTTCACCACACTTTTTGTTCTTAGTGTCAATCTGATGTAGAATACATTCAATGAATTCTAGTATTCCATGTTTCTTCACTATTTATGCAGTATTTTATATTTAACACTGAAAAAATGGTAACCAAATACTGGGAGAATCCTGCTATCAACCTGTAAAAACTGGTACAGAGGGAACATTTCATTGCTGTCAGCCAGCTACTGGCTATTTCGGGAATGTTCACATTTTTATGAATGTATTAAGGGTCCATAGTTATCTACATACTATGTATTTCAAACAACATTAACACCTTGGTGAGGTAGCTTACTTTGCCCCTTATAGAAACACTGATGTTTGCACATTAGTCATAAAGGAAATCAATTATTGCTTACAGGAGTTTTTGTCTATGAACAAAAATTTGAGAACTAATTTCACTCATGTAGTGATGGATAGTGTAATTTAAGTGATATCTGACAAAGGTACCTTAAAATGACTATGAGACTCCAGGGAGTGAGTTCAGACAGTCCTAAAGCCTAAGCCTGCCAGAGTGGGTGGGATATTTGGGCAGCTGAGTTGAAACATCATTTTCCTTTCAGCATTCTCATCAGGAATATTCTGCAACTGTGACGAGTAACATGAACTTGGTGGGCGGGTACTTAGCAGATGGCAGCGACCGAGATGATTTAAAAATCTCCTTGAGATTTTTGGAAGACCTGAACAGGCTGAATCCTGGGCAACGTGTGGCTGTTAAAGACTATAAGGACAGGGAGGGATGCTGTCAAGCCAGCCAGGGACGCTGCGGTGTCCTGCTCTGGGAGGCCACCTCCACATGAGCTGTGTCTTATGCTGGAGAAGCTCCTACCCTCCGTCTGTGTCTGGTGACATCTCCCTATCAATTCTTGACCATCACCTTTGTGGCAACCAGGCAAATAAATTTGCCCTCTTGGGAAAAGAAGTTTTTCTCCAAAATATTATAAAATACAAACACATGGAATGTTAGACCTAAAACCATAAAAACCCTAGAAGAAAACCTAGGCAATACCATTCAGGACATAGGCATAGGCAAGGACTTCATGTCTAAAACACCAAAAGCAATGGCAACAAAAGCCAAAATTGACAAATGGGATCTAATTAAACTAAAGAGCTTCTGCACAGCAAAAGAAACTACCATCGGAGTGAACAGGCAACCTACAGAATGGGAGAAAATTTTTGCAATCTACTCATCTGACAAAGGGCTAATATCCAGAATCTGCAATGAACTCCAACAAAGTTACAAGAAAAAAACAAACAACCCCATCAAAAAGTGGGAGAAGGATATGAACAGACACTTCTCAAAAGAAGACATTTATGCAGCCAAAAGACACATGAAAAAATGCTCATCATCACTGGCCATCAGAGAAATGCAAATCAAAACCTCAATGAGATACCATCTCACACCAGTTAGAGTGGTGATCATTAAACAGTCAGGAAACAACAGGTGCTGGAGAGGATGTGGAGAAATAGGAACACTTTTACACTGTTGGTGGGACTGTAAACTAGTTCAACCATTGTGGAAGTCAGTGTGGCAATTCCTCAGGGATCTAGAACTAGAAATACCATTTGACCCAGCCATCCCATTACTGGGTATAGACCCAAAGGATTATAAATCATGCTGCTATAAAGACACATGCACACGCATGTTTATGGCAGTACTATTCACAACAGCAAAGACTTGGAACCAAGCCAAATGTCCAACAATGATAGACTGGATTAAGAAAATGTGGCACATATACACCATGGAATACTATGCAGCCATAAAAAAGGATGGGTTCGTGTCCTTTGTAGGGACATGGATGAAGCTGGAAACCATCATTCTCAGCGAACTATCCCAAGGACAAAAAACCAGACACTGCATGTTCTCACTCATAGGTGGGAACTGAACAATGAGAATACATGGACACAGGAAGGGGAACATCACACACTGGGGCCTGTTGTGGAGTGGGGGCAGGGGGAAGGGATAGCATTTGGCGATATACCTAATGTTAAATGACGAGTTCCTGGGTGCAGCACACCAACATGGCACATGTATACATATGTAACTAACCTGCACGCTGTGCCATGTACCCTAAAACTTAAAGTATAATTAAAAAAAAATACAAACGCATGGAATGTTTAGTATGATACTTACAAGATTTTCCATATCTGTGCGAGCCAACATGTATGTTCTAATATTACTATTTTGATGGAGCAAGGTATACAAGAGGAGAGTTGCTTGATCAGATGTCTGCTGTTCACAAAGAGCTGTGTACAAACTATTAAAGTTGATCTGGAAGGCATGTGGAATTGATGAGGGGAAAGGACTGCTATCTGGAATACAGAAAACAGCACATCAGTAATTTCTAGCTGTGCTTTATATAAATAAAAATATTGTTAAAGTAATGTGTACAACTCAATTCCCATTAATTTTATGGAAAGTCACTACATTTCAGATTCAAAATTTTAATTTATGTAAAATTTACTTTAGGGCCAGGCATGGCGGCTCACGCCTGTAATCCCAGCACTTTGGGAGGCCGAGACAGGTGGATCATGAGGTCAGAAGTTTGAGACCAGGCTGACCAACATGGTGAAACCCCATCTCTACTAAAAATACAGAAATTAGCCAGGCATGGTGGCGTGGGCCTGTAATCCCAGCTACTCAGGAGGCTATAGCAGGAGAATCGCTTGAACCTGGGAGGTGGAGGTTGCAGTGAGCCGAGCTCACGCCACTGCACTTCAGCCTGGGCGAGAGTGAGACTCTGTCTAAAACAAAACAAAACAAAAATTTTACTTTAAAAAGAACTAAACAAAGTCATATACTTTGACTTTGTTACTATTTTCCCATTAACATAGCTGAAATAAATCAGCTATAAGAACATGAACTTAAATAAACAGAATTATGAGCTAGGCAAAAGGCCCACCAATCAATACAACTTAACCAGGACGTTGAGATAAAATACTTTGTTACCAAAACTAAATAACCATGAGTCCTAAATAAAAAATATCTACAGAAAAAGATATAATTTCTACACAAAATAGAAAATTCTCTTTTAAGATAGAATTAAAAAGAAAAAAACTGCCTTTAAATAAATTGTGGCTGAAGCATCCACTTATATCAAAATCAGTATAGACGTTCCTCAACTTAACAATGGAGTCATATTCCCATAAATTAATCATAAGTTGAAAATATTCTAAGTTGAAAATGCATTTAATACACCTAACTTACCAAACAACATAGTGTAGTCTAGCCTAGCCTAAGCTATTATATTTGTGTACAGTTCTAAATTGTATCAATCCAACTGTAACAGTAGGCCTATTTTACAACAAAGTGTTGAATATCTCATGTAATTTATCAAATACAGTACTGAATTTATATTGTTTTTGCACATCATAAAGTCAAAAAATCCTAAGTCCAGCCATTGCAGGTTGGGGGCCATCTGCGTATATTCAACATTAGGTTCTATAATCAAAAGAGCACACCAAGCTTGAGACAACTACCAGAAAACTTCTATAACTTTTTTTAAAATAAAATAAAATATAATCTCCAATGCAAACCTAATTGACTATAACTGTTAAGAAACTTTTTTTTTTTTTAAAGTACAGTCACTGGAACAATGAAAAGAACAAATCACAGCCTGTATTAGGAAAAGTTCTTGATATTCCAATCTGACACAGCCCCTTTCCAACAGTTAACTGGATTTGCTGAGAAACTGAAGCAACCAAGGTTAGGAAGCAACAAAGAAGATAAAGATAAGTTCAATGGACTCAGAGAAAGTCATCATCCAATCAAATAAAACTCTGAACATGGTAGCACAAAGAGCTAATATTTTTACGTTCTAAAAAGCACCAAATTATTTTTAAGCCTTTAAAACACAGAAGCACTACCAAAACAAAACAACTTGCTTTAACATTTCTAAAAGCTGTGCTCTTATGGAAAAAGAGATGTGTTCCAACACAATCCTTGCCTCTCAGATTCTCCTTCCTAAGCTTTACATTTGTGAGGGGAATGCACCAAAATGCCTTCAGGTTTACTATCCAGTGCCCTCACTTTTCCTTCCACATTTGAAATATAGACTATTTTTTCAATACTAACACTGTATTTTTGACACTTACAAAAATAATTCCTTTTTTTTGTGGTTGGCTTTATATTTTTGCAAGGGATGGCAAAAGGAAGTGTTGCCATGTGCTGTGAGTATGCAGATATTATGGAATCTACAGAATGTTCACTGGAGGAAGATTCTAGACACACTACACTTCTTTAAAATTGAAGGAAAGTAACAAATTCACCAACCTGTATTATACCTGACTGCAAAGGGAATATGTGGGTTGTGTATATGTATCCACAACATATATACATTACTAGCTAATAAATGCTATGAACCAGCTGTTATACTAAACACTTTGTTTGTGTTATCCCTTATTTAACCCATACATCAAACATGTCATTATTCTGATCAGCTTTACATGGAATGTAATAAATGTTTAAAGGGATTAAGTAACTTTGCCAAGATCAGCCCTGATGGATATGAATACCCTTAAGCCAACATTTTGCTTCATTGTACTACATGGTCTCCCAAACCATGACCATCCCAAGCAAAGTTCAGCCCTAAATACCAACATTTGGCCTGAGCAACAAGAGTAACATAGTAGATACCATATACTGAATACCTGCTTTGTTGCAAAATCTGGGCTAATCATTTTAAAGACTTACCTTGCTTGGTCTTTATACAAATACTATTAGGTGATATTATCTCTATTTTATAGGCCAAGCTTTTGAAGCTAATTGAGATTAAGCAAACTGTCAAAGGTCTCACACTCTGAAGCGATAGAGGTATGGTGTGAAGCCAGGTATGCTTGACTCTGAAACTTGCTTTCTTAACCATTAAGCCATACTGTCACCAAGAAGAGTAAGTAATGGGAACAGAAAAATACTAACAGATACACCAGTTTTCGTTTTTTAATTTGTAAAATTGTTATTAATTCCCTATTGTCCTGTGTTATAGTTTGCCTGTATCCTCTCCAAAATTCATGTTGAAATTTAATCTCCAATGAAATAAAGTTGAGAGGTAGGGCCTTTACAGTGTGATTAGGTCCTAAGGGCCCATCTCTCATCAATAGGATGAAGGCCTTCATAAAAGAGGGCCCACATAGCATTCAGCCCTTTTAGCCCTTGACTCCCTTCTGCCATGTGAAGACACAGCTAGAAGGATCCATCTTGGAAGCAGAGACTGAGCCCTCACCAGACACCAAACCTGCCGGTGCCTGCATCTTAGATTGACTTCCCAGCCTTCAGAACTGTGAGAAATAGATTTCTGTTCTTTATAAGTTATTGAGTCTCAGGTATTTTGTTAGAGCAGCACAAATGGACAAAGACACACTGCAAATAATACCAGAATTGGCAGAGGCGCAATTAATGGGCACATTTAGCCACGTCTATAAGAAATGTGTATCAGAATAACCCGGAAGAATCATGGCACAGCCCATCAGAAGGCTTACAAATGCTCCCATCCAATCACTGTACTTCCCACCCATCTTCATTACATTAGTGTTCAAAATGTCTTGAGCATCTGGTCATGCACTGCATAATAACGTTTCAGTCAGTGATAAACCACATATTCAAAGTGATTCCATGTGATTATAATACCACGTTTTTATTGTACCTTTTCTAGGTTTAGACTGCTTAGATACACAAATACTTACCACTGTGTTACAACTGACTACAGCATTCAGTACATCATCATGTTGAATAGGTCTGTTGGCTAGGAGCAATAGGCTACACCACATAGCCTAGTTGTGTAGTAGCTACGCCATCTAGGTTTGTCTAAGTACACTATGATATTCACACAGCGACAAAATTGCCTAATGGAACACAGCCCTGCTGTTGAGCAGCACTTGACTATACTACAGGAATCTTGCTTTTAGAATGTAACCTTTTGAGAAGAGATAATACTGGTTCAACATGAAGCCATATGCTCACCTTCTACTTTAGGAGTTATTAATACCAAGTTACACAGCTCA
The DNA here is from genome assembly GCF_000001405.40 of Homo sapiens. Taxonomy (NCBI): domain Eukaryota; kingdom Metazoa; phylum Chordata; class Mammalia; order Primates; family Hominidae; genus Homo; species Homo sapiens. The sequence goes on from NC_000018.10 coordinate 49,285,863, forward strand.
TGGGCAGCCTGCCCCTTGTCTGGAAGTAAAGATTTACTGGAGCACAGCCATCTAACTTGTTTACATAGTACCTATGGCTGCTTTGATGGAAAAACGGCAAGGCTAACAGACTGCAGGAGAGACCATGTGACTCCACAAAGCCACTACCCTCTACAGAAAAAGGTTTTCTGATTTGTGTTCTAATCTTTTTTTTTTGTTTTTGAGACCTAATTTTTAGTTCTATAAAACTCTAGAACACAGACTTTAACTGAAAATTTAAAACAACCTAGCATTTGGGTTTTCCAGGTTAATTCCTATCCCTAACAGGTAGTACAGACTGACCCAAATTAAACACATGCTGGTTGGTTGTCCATGAAAGAAATATGGATTTAAACAGATATAAAGGATCAGATATAAAGGATGCTTGACCTTCCTGATAATATTGACAGGAAAAGCTAAAGTTTTTCTCATGTTTGACCAATATGAAAACATACAATGGACACTCATCTCCAAAACTATAAGACAATAAACAATATAGAACAAGCAATACTCTCCCCATTACAAAGAATATTAGAGAAAAAATACCACAAACCTTGTGTGTTCTTGAAGGACATAATGGCTTGTCTGTAGGGGTTTGGCGCATCTGAGGCATCTGTCAGATTGGCCAACACCAGCAGAAGCAGGAGACTCTGGTTGGCCAGAGGGGAAGAAAGCTCTGGAGAGGCAGCCGCTTTGCTGCCCACACCACCTAGTGTGAAGACAGTCCAGAGTCCTGCTGGGGAGGAAAACACCCTGTTAGGATGTGCTGCCACCAATGAGATGAATGTATTTCTGTAAAGTATTCTGTGTAATATAATACAATATGGTAATGAGCAGTTCCAAAGTGTAGAACAAGAATCATGTCTATACATTTCACAAGGCCAGAAAATCCTTGCTATAAAAACTGGACAAAGATTGACTGTATTTACAACAAAATAGAGAAATAGAGATTTTTATGATTAGGTAACCTAAATTTTGTAAAAAAGTGAATGAAATTTAGTAGAAAAATTTGCTAAAAAAAATTAATGCAAGCCGGGTGCAGTGGCACACACCTGTAATCCCAGCACTTTGAGAGGCCAAGGCAGGTGGACCAAGAGGTCAGGACTTCGAGACCAGCCTAACCAACATGGTGAAACCCCATCTCTACTAAAAATATAAAAAATAGCCAGGTGTGATGGCAGGCGCCTGTAGTCCCAGCTACTTGGCTGAGGCAAAAGAATAGCTTGAACCTGGGAAGCAGAGGTTGCAGTGAGCTGAGATCATGCCACTCCACTCCAGGCTGGGCAACAGAGTGAGACTCATCTCAAAAAATAATAATAATAATAAATGCATTATGATCAAGAGGCTTTGTTTCTAAAGTACAAGAATTGTTCACCATTTTAAAAGTATTATTTCTATTTTTTAAAATAAAAAATATGGTCATCTCGAGAGTTTCCACATTTTCATATATATATTTAAATATATATATATTTTAAACTTAAAATTAGTTTCTGATTTAAAGAAAAATTCTTACAAACTAGAAAGGGAAGGAAACCTCTAGCCAAAAATTCATAGTGGTCAAACATTGTAAGTATTCCCATTAATATCATCAACATCAGCATGGTACTACTAATGCCCAAGCAAAAACATTAAGACAAAAGAAAAAAAGACCAAAAAAATTTTAGAGAAAAAATTTCATTATTTGCAAGCAATATTCTGGTCCACTTAGAAATGCGCTGTCCAGGCCTGGCACGGTGGCTCACGCCTGTAATCCCAACACTTTGGGAGGCCTGACCAACATGGAGAAACCCTGTCTCTACTAAAAATACAAAAAAATTAGCCAGGCGTGGTGGCGGGCACCTGTAATCCCAGCTACTCGGGAGGCTGAGGCAGGAGAATTGCTTGAACCCAGGAAGCAGAGGTTGCGGTGAGCTGAGATCGCGCCACAACAAGAGCGAAACTCCGTCTCAAAAAAAAAAAAAAAAAAAAAAAATGCACTGTCCAGTACAGTGGCCACTAGCCACTTGTGGTTACTGAGCATTTAAAGTGAGTCTACTGTAGCTCAAATTACACTGTGCTATAAGTGTAAAATACACATGAAAATTTGAAGACTTAATACCAAAAAAAGAATGTAAATTATCTCACTAATATTTTATGCTAAATACATGTTGAAATAATATTTTAGATACACTAGTATTAAAATTACTTTCACCTGTTTCTTTTTACTTTTTGAACATGACCACTAGAAAATTTAAAATTACATACATGGCTTCTATTATATTTCTATTGGACAGAGTTAATTGTTCTAGAATATCAAAGAGAGCCACCTGATACTCCATTACTGACACACTATAACTAATAGAAGATTTTGGTGCAGTACTATGGCTATATGGTCAACACCACCAACAACAATAAAAATTAAAAGCTTTACATACAATCAATAAATAATTAGAAAATATATTTAATTCCAATCAAAATAGCAACAAATCCAATAAAATATTCAGGAATAAACCTAAAATAGAGATGATCTTTAGGCTGACAACCATAGAATTTGAAGACCATATGAGATCTGAATTAATGTAAAGGCATAACATGTTTCTGGACAAAAAGAGTCAATACTATAAAATGTCAAATCTAGGCTGGGTATAGGGGCTCATGCCTGTAATCCCAGCACTTTGGGAGGCTAAGGCAGATGGATCAACTGAGGTCAGGAGTTCGAGACCAGCCTGGACAACATGGTGAAACCCCGTCTCTACTAAAAATACAAAAATTAGCCAGGTGTGGTGGTACATGCCTGATACTCCCAGCTACTTGGGAGGCTGAGGCGGGAGAATCTCTTGAACCCGAGAGGCAGAGGTTGCAGTGAGCCGAGATCATGCCACTGCACTCCAGCCTGGGCGACAGAGTAAGACTCTGTCTCAAAAAAAAACAAAAAACAAAACAAAAACAAAAAAAAGTCAAATGTCTCTAAGTAAATCTAAAATTCAGTATAATAACCATCAAAATACCAACAAGACTTTATGTGATATTTTGTAATACAGTGTAAATAAAACATTTCTACATGAAAAAAATACATAAGAAAACAATTCTGAGACCGACCTAGGGAAGTATACAACCATTCACATAGTACAATTTGTATAAAGCTATAGTCATGTAAAAGTGTGATTTGGCAGCAGAGGAGACAAATAGGTCAACAGAAGAGAAATTAGGTCAGCACAGAGCTACATGTATTTGATAATTAAGATTATGATAAAGGTAGTGTGCCAGATCAGTAAGAAAAGGATAAAATTCTGTTAAGTGTTCTTGGGACAGTGAAATTTTGTTAGTATTTAATTATAGAAGCATATGTATAAACCTTGAGTCAGGGAAGCCCTTTTCTTATGTAAGAAACAACATTCAAGAATACATGAAGAATATTCATTTGACCATTTAAAAATTAAATACTTTTACATGATAAAACACATCACAAAGACAAGTAACATATGAAGAAGCAACATTCGTAACATGCATAACAAAAGGATTTTTTTAAAAATCTACAAATCAGTAAAAAAAAAAAAAAAAAAAAAAAAAAAAGTAATCCAAAATTAAAATGGGCAATAAAGGAGGCTGAGGCAGGAGGACTGCTTCAGCCCAGAAGTTGAAGACCAGCCTGGGCAACACAGTGAGACCTTGTCTCTACAAATAATAATAATTAAAAAAGAAATAGCCGGGCATGGTGGTTCATGCTTGTAGTCCCAGCTACTCATGAGGCTGAAGCAGGAGGATCACTTGAGCCCAGGAGGTTGAGGCTACAGTAAGCTGTGACTGTGCCACTGCACTCCAACCCAGGCAACAGAATAAGCCCCTATCTCAAATATATATATATGTGTATATATATATATATATATATATATATATATATATATATATATATACACATATATATATATACACACATATATATATATATACACATATATATTTATTTATATATTTTAAACGGACAACGGAAGTCTAAACAATAATTTTTAAAAATGTAATGATGATGAGATGACCCATGAGACTAGAACATTTTTAAAAGACTGATAACACTGATAAGACTCAGTAGTATCAGTAAAGGTATAGGAAATTATCAGTAGTAAGAGATCCAAGTGTTACAGGACTTTTTAAAGTACATTTGGCAGTTTTCATTGAAAATAAAATGCACATACTCATGAGCCCAGCAATTCTTTTTTTTTTTCTATACCAAGGAATACTTGAATAGGCACACAAAAGAGCATGTATAGGAATGTTTACTGTAATATTGTTTATAATGGTCCAATAATGTAAACAACATATAAATGCTCACCAGTAACAATGGTGACATAAACTATGGTTAAACTATACCATGGAATACAATATAAGGATGTAGATGTCTATGTACCAACAAGGAAATACCGTTAAGTGAAAAAAACAAGTTGCAGAAAAACTGATGTAACAATTTAAAAAATCACTTACCAAACCATATATGTATCCATATGTACATATTTAAAAAAAAAACAAGAAGGACAAAGTATACATCACACTGCAAACAGAGATTATCTCTAGAGGATGAAGTGGGATTGCATGGAATTCAAGGAATTCAAGGAAGACTTTTGTTTTACTTGTATAGTTTAATTTTTCCCCAGTAATAATATATTTATTTCTTTAAAAATAAATGTAAAAGAATAAAATTAAAATAACAGAAAAATATAGATCCCATTAGTATGTAGAATATGGGAAAATCTCATCAGAAATCACTAAGTGAAAAAGGCCATTCACAAACTACATATATATAGATATATATGTATATATATGCATGCTCCATTTGTTTTAAGAACTTGCAAATACACATATCTATGCATGTAAGTCCATCTACAGGTCCCTGGCAGGGTCCACTGTAGACAGTGGTCATTCGTCATGGAGCAGAGTGGGAGTGAAGGTGGCTTCAGGAGAGTCTCAGACTTTGTTCAGTGTAGTATTACTCTATTGCTTGACTCTTCTACAACAGAGACGTATTCAAGCATAATAAGCAATTAAAAATAATAAGGAAGGGAAGGAGGAAAATTCCTGGTCACCAACTCCCCCAAAAATGTGATGCAAATACTTTGGAACTAGGACAAAGCCCTGTAATTTTTACTTTAACAACAAAACAGAAAACCTCCTGATAATTTTGGAGGGAAAAATCATCAACATGTTAGCTCTGATTATATCGAGGACCATGGCAATAGATGTGATATTTAACTTTAATCTTTGCATATACATATTTTTTATTACTTATTATAATGGGCAGGTGTCCTTTTTACAAAAACACTTATTAAATGAATTAAGTGCTTCTGTAAATAAATTATAAGCAATGTATAACAAAACAAGCAACTGAAACGTTTTGTTTCTGCCGAACTAACACAGGCAGATACTTTTTATTTCTACTTTACATTGTAAACAGTTCAGTGTGAACATCTGTTCATTTCTAATATTTTGTACTTTTTACTGAACACACAAAATAAAGTATCTTATGAATAGCCTAAATATGTAATTTCCTACACAATTGTGAGCCTACAAATATCAAGCTTTTTAAATGATTACTGAAATGGTTTTACTACTAACTTTTAAGGAGCTGTTATGGGGGAAGGGGGGAAATAGTCCCCATCCCTAAATTTCGAGGTCCTCAAAAAAGAGTATACTGGGAACCTCAAACTGCAAATCTGGTATAAATTTTCAGTATAGGTATAAGCAAACTCGAGGATCAGCAAGAAGAGGTTTTTCTGTTTTGTTTTTTAATACAGGAAGGATTTTAAGATGACTGGGGAACACAGGAAAGTTTCTGTTAAATAATGTGCTCCCTCCATTTCATAAGGAAAATCTGAATTAAAATTGTCAATAATTGGTAATTATAGACCACAAATTTAAGTTTATTCAAAACAATCCTCATGACATAGTTGAAGAACTTGAGACATTTAATAAGAAAATCAAAATTATTAAGAAGGTACAGCCAGTAGCCAAGTATTAATTATTTGCTTTGGGATTGATTTGTGTTGTTTATTTGTATCATTTTAAAACATTTAAAGCCATTTTCTTCCACTCAGAGTATGCTCCATGACAGTCAGCTCCAATATCCATCACTGTGTGTTCCAGGATTCAGAGCAATGAGAAACACAATTACAAAGTTCAATCTGCAACAAAAATAATCACAACATGGTCCCCAAGGTCAAATAGAAGTGTTTTTTGGATCCTCTTCACAGTTGCTCATCTTTATTGCTAGTAGAAATGAGTTGACTACTACTGAATAAATTGCACAAACAAAATTCTGATTCCCTTTCAACACAGATTCACTCTCCTTTCTTCAAGATTTTCCAAGAGGGCTGAGAAGCTGCTTCTAATGTCAGATAAACTAACATTTTATTGGGAAGCTTCTCCATCTTTCCCTGAATCCACCAACACAGACAGACAGACAGACAGGCAGGCAGGCAGGCAGGCAGGCAGACAGACAGACAGACAGACACACACACACACACACACACACACACACACACACACACACACACAGAGCCCTCCTTCCTTTTTCTGGTAAACAGTACTGCAGGGAGAGATGAAGCAGCCTGTCACTGCCTACATTACAGTTTAAACTGGCCCATAATACTGGACAAAGATTCTTCCAAAAGTTCCTTTCTCTTTGCTGGTCCAAGCCTCTGATCTATGACCTAAGAATCTTAGTGGAATTGCATTTTCCTGTTGGAAAAAAAAAAAAAAAAAAAAAAAAAAAAAAAAACCCCCACAAAAACCTGTCCACCAGAAAAATAAGGAAAGTTACAAAATATTTCCTTGTGTTCCAAAAACCAAATTCAGGATGGTTCCCAAAGTTTCTTAATTGTATCCCTTGGGTCTTCCAAACTAACTCCTAAAATCCATCTAACTAAAAACTAAAAACTAAAATTAACTAAAAGAACAAATCTGGTGTTGACAAGTTTTTTGTCTTATTATTATTATACTTTAAGTTATGGGATACATGTACAGAAGGTACAGGTTTGTTACATAGGTATACACGTGCCATGGTGGTTTGCTGCACCCATCAACCTGCCATCTACATTAGGTATTTCTCCTAATGCTATCCCCTCCTCTAGCCCCTTACCCACCGACAGGCCCTAATGTGTGATGTTCCCTGCCCTGTGTCCATGTGTTCTCATTGCTCAGCTCCCACTTATTAGTGAGATCATGAAGTGTTTGGTTTTCTGTTCCTGTGTTAATTTGCTGAGAATGATGGTTTCCAGCTTCATCCATGTCCCTGCAAAGGACATGAATTCATCTTTTTTATGGCTGCATAGTATTCCATGGTATATATGTGCCACAATTTGTTTATCCAGTCTATCACTGATGGGCATTTGGGTTGGTTCCAAGTCTTTTCTATGTGAATAGTGCTGCAGTAAACATATGTGTGCATGTGTCTTTATAGTAGAATAATTTATAATCCTTTGGGTGTGTATACCCAGTAATGGGATTGCTGCGTCAAATGGTATTTCTGGTTCTAGATCCTTGAGGAATCACCACACTGTCTTCCACAATGGCTGAACTAATTTACACTCCCACCAACAGTATAAAAGCATTCCTATTTCTCCACATCCTCTCCAGCATCTGTTGTTTCCTGACTTTTTAATGATCACCATTCTAAGTGGCATGAGATGGTATCTCATTGTGGTTTTGATTTGCATTTCTCTAATGACCAGTGATGATGAGCTTTCATATGTTTGTTGGCTGCATAAATATCTTCTTTTGAGAAGTGTCTGTTCATATCCTCCCACTTTTTGATGGGGTTGTTTGCTTTTTTTCTTGTAAATTTAAGTTCTTGTAGATTCTGGATATTAGCCTTCTGTCAGTGGATAGATTGCAAAAATTTTCTCCCATTCTGTAGGTTGCCTGTTCACTTTGATGATAGTTTCTTTTGCTGTGCAGAAGCTCTTTAGTGTAATTAGATCCCATTTGTCAATTTTGGCTTTTGTTGTCATTGCTTTTGATGTTTTAGTCATGGAATCTTTGCCCATGCCTATGTCCTGAATGGTATTGCCTAGGTTTTCTTCTAGGGTTTTTATGATTTTAGGTCTTACATTTAGCTCTTTAATCCATCTTGAGTTAATTTTTGTATAAGGTGTAAGGAAGGGGTCCAGTTTCAGTTTTCTGCACATGGTTAGCCAGTTTTCCCAACACCACTGATTAAATAGGGAATCCTTTCCCTGTTGCTTGTTTGTGTCAGGTTTGTCAAAGATCAGATGGCTGTAAATGTGTGGTGTTATTTCTGAGGCCTCTGTTCTGTTCCATTGGTCCATGTATCTGTTTTGGTACCAGTACCATGCTGTTTTGGTTACTGTAGTCTTATAGTATAGTTTGAAGTCAGGTAGCATGATGCCTCCAGCTTTGTTCTTTTTGCTCAGGATTGTCTTGGCTATACAGGCTCTTTTTTGGTTCCATATGAAATTTAAAGCAGTTTTTTCTAATTCTGTGAAGAAAGTCAATGGTAGCTTGATGGGGATGGCATTGAAACTATAAATTACTTTGGGCAGTACAGCCATTTTCACAATATTGATTCTTTCTATCCATGAGCATGGAATGTTTTTCCATTTGTTCATGTCTTCTCTTATTTCCTTGATCAGTGGTTGACAATTCAAGTTTTTTAAAGAAGTACTGACTGAAGACTACTTATCCTTAACATTCAAAATGTGAAGAGGACATAAAGTATGAAACATCAATAAAAATAATAATCAAGGAAAAAATAAACCTCATTTTTAAAAAATGAACTCAAATGCTTGATAAATTTATCAAGATTGAATGAAATAGAGGTAAGTTACTGCTTTTTCATATTAAACATGCTACTTGCTAAACTATAAATGATTTCTTACATCTAACAAACATATTACAAAACACTATTCAATCAGAACTATACCAAAAAAAAAGATACTATGCACTGTCAGCCACAGTTACAAAAATCTCCTAAAAGGGGCATATCATATATTTTAAAACTGTAATACTGATACAAACCATATACCATGAAAGAATTAAGGAGAAGGCAGGTCAGATAGCAGAGATGTATAAAAATTCTGCTAGAGATGTTCAGTCAACATCTATAAAAGGCTAACGGTCAATAGACACGTAATGAGTTCCTGTTAGGGTCAGGTCCCATGCTAGGAACCAAAAATACAAAGAAGAAACACTCTTCCTTTGGGGAAAGTAATGAGGATACAAGCATTAAAACGACTGCATATAAACTGATTTTTACTTCCATCATGACCCAACAAATACATCTAAATCTTAAAACACCCATGCTTTTCCTACATAAGTATAGTAAAATAATAAGGAAAGAAAGTTTCACCAAAAAAGTTATTGAACATGCATTTCAGGACAAACACTGTGGCAGAGCTACTTGACCTCCATACCATGCTCCCTTTCTTCTTTTTGATAAAAATAAAATTTTAAAACTTTAGATTTAGCTGGGTAGGACTACATTTCCCAGTCTTTCTTGAAGCAACAAAATATGTCTGCATGACTAAATTCCAACAAATGGGATATGAACGGGAGCAGCACATGCAACTTTCAGGTCATATCCTTAAAAGGAAGCTATTTTCTCCTCACATCCTTATCCTTGCCATTGGCTAGAACCCAGGCATAGTGTTGGGAGCCAAACCATGTATGAGGACACTGCAGGAGGAATGGTAAAACAAGATTGGAGGAACTTTGGTCCCTGGATAACCTCAGAAAGCAAGCCTGCCTCTAGACTAGTTTAGACTTCCATGTGAGAGAAATATAAGCCTTCTCTCTTGTTTAAACTACTGGTGTCTGGTCTCTACTAAAAGCCAAACCGATATCCTAACTAATGCAGGTATGTATTATAAAATTCCAGAATATTATTGCTTTTTAAAAAAATTCTTGGCTCATCACAATTTTTTAAGCTTGTTATTTCAAGATAATTGTAGATTTACATGCTTTGCTAAAAAAAAAAATACACAGGTATTCCATGTGCACTTTACCCAGCTTCCTCTAATGGTAGTATCTTTTAAAACCAAAACCGTTCTTATTTATTTATTTATTTATTTATTTTGAGACAGAGTTTCACTCTGTTTCCCAGGCTGGAGTGCAGTGGCGTGATCTCGCTAACTGCAACTTCCACCTCCTGGATTCAAGCAATTCTCCTGCCTCAGCCTTCTGAGTAGCTGGGATTAGTAGTGGGTGGCAGGTGCCACCACACCCAGCTAATTTTTGTATTTTTAGTAGAGACAGGGTTTTGCCATGGTGGCCAGGATGGTCTCAAACTCCTGGCCTCAGGTGATCTGCCCACCTCAGCCTCCCAACGTGCTAGGATTACAGGCACGAGCCACCCAAAACCATACTATTTCTAGCTAGAAGCATTCATATGGAAAAAAATATTTGTCTGATGATCAGTTAATTTCTTCAAAGTTGATTTCTTTCAAGGGTCCTGACCAATCTATACTTTACCACAGAGGAAGCTTGCTGTGCCCAAATGTGTATTTGCTGCCTATGTACTTGTATACATTCATTTCATCATTTATTAAGGGCCTGCTATGGATTGAGCAAAGTACAAAAAACTGGATTAGACATGATGTACCAAAAAGACACTAATGCCCTACCCACGCAGCTTCAGTCTAAAGGAGAAACTAACATGAAACAGAGACAGATAAATAAACTGCAGTCAGTTTGTCGGGGGGAATAAGAAAAGTTACCTAAATGTCATGACTATTGGTGGGGGGAAATAGTTCAGAGATCTATCAATGACTAGAACTGACCATTGGTTGATGGACTTTTTACTAAATGTTTAGATTCAACCAAGAATGCCATTCTATTTCCTACCTTTTTAAAATTTTCTCTCATTTCTCTCTTTTTTCCTTGCTTAGAAAATTCTTCAAGGTCCAAGTCACAGTCATTTGTTCTAATACAAAGCAAAAAATAACTATTCTTTCCTCTCTTCTCTCATAGCACACTGGCTATATCTCCTATGATCATCTGCACCACTGTCTGACTTGGATTATACTTATGTGTATTATATATACACAAGTCTTCCTGTAGACTCCTTGAAGAGAAAGAGCTGTCTCTTTTTCACATTCTATAAATCTTGGAGGGCTCCAACTTATAAACTTAATTTATTCCTTCACAAAGTACTTACTGAAGGATGTTTTTAAAGTGTACAAGTAATAAGAATTTTATATTTGCTATTTAAAGGAAAAGGATGTTATCTTCAAAGTTCTAAATATAGGTGTCAATTGGCTTTAATCCTATATTTTAAGTTGTAATACTTTAACACTGATGAGGGCACTAGGAGATGGGTACTTTCAGACACTAGTGGTAGGATGAAGTATAAATATATACTGTACTTAAATTATTTAATAGAATGAAATTAGTTGTCATAAAAATGAACAAACTATGCTTCATGCAGAAATGTGGATGAATTTCACAAATAAACGAAGTAAAACACAAAAGAATACATCAATATAAAGTTCAAAACCATGCAAGACTAACCTAGCGTATTAGAAGTTGGGATAGTGATATCCTCAGTGGTTGGGAAGGCAGAGTGAAGATGAGAGTATTGGAGAGAGGGTTCTGGAGTGCTGGAATTATTTCACCTGACTGAACACATTCACTTTATAATAATTACTTGAGCCACATGCTAATTATGCACTTTTCTATATGTTACACTTAAATAAAAAGTTTACCATTAAGAAAAAGAAAAACACTGTATGTATCCCTTTTTGTAAAATGATTATGATAATAATGATAATGGGTATATATCATGCTTCAAGTGCTTATGTTTTTATGTTGGGTGATTTTTTTTCCTCATCAAAATACTTTGATTTCTAAAATGAACACACAACAAAAGAAACAATAAAATTTAATTAGAAAAAAATTAATAGAATAGCCTTAGAACAACAATGTTTCCTAAAACAAACAGTGTTGGTGTAATCAGAAAAAAAAAAGCATACTTGATGTTGCATCTTTATTAAAGGGCATAATCCTCAAGTATCACTTTTTCTATTTAATCAACATATATATTAAGAAAACACAGTCTCCAACACCTATTTTTGCCAGCCTAAAAATGCATGTAAAACAGTAACATACACAACCTTGAATGACAGCCAATCATGTTATAATGCTAGGAAAGGGGAAAAAAGGGTCACTAATAGTTTCACCTTTTTACATGTATTTACACTTAAAGCACTCTTGAAATATCTGGTGACTGCTAGTTCCTAAAACAGATTTGAGTCAAATTCAATTTTCCTAACACAAAACACGATATTACTAACCCATCCTGTCTCCCAAAAGGAATGCTTTGACCATCTCAAGAAAGAAAAAAAACACATGGGCGAACAAAGAAAAATGTTTTTTAAAACTCATAGCACAGTAAAACTTTTTATCCACCTTTGTAGTTTCAAATTTGTCAGAAGTGGCTGGGTGCGGTGGCTCATACTTGTAATCCCAGTACCTTGGGAGGCCAAGGCAGGTGGATTACCTGAGGTCAGGAGTTCAGGACCAGCCTGGCCAACATGGTGAAACCCCGTCTCTACTAAAAAATACAAAAATTAGCCAGGCCTGGTGGCGGGCACCTGTAATCCCAGCTACTCAGGAGGCTGAGACAGGAGAATTGCTTGAACCTGGGAGGCAAAGGTTGCAGTAAGCTGAGATTGCACCATTGCACTCCAGCCTGGGTGACAAGAGCGAAACTCCGTCTCAAAAAAAAAAAAAAAATTCTGTCAGAATCTCTCTGACTTATAATCTGGCATAATATATGTCATATGGAAGTTTTTTTTAAGTTTAATTCCTTGAAGAATAGAAAATAGAACTGTTTCCAAAAAGTTGAAAAAAATCCACTGAAATATTTCAGTAATTATGAAGATCGATTCCTGTTTACTTGTTTTCTAAAATGAACAACCATGAAAGGTACTAGAATTCAACTGTCTCAGTAAAACTCTTGGTTCACATATCCCTACAATAAACATTTATGAGAAACTTAGATGACGCAGGTAGTATTTTAAAATGTGAAGCATAAAAGGAAACAAAATAAATGTAAAAGCCTTGTGCCCTCAGAGATAAATCCTATCTCACCCACATATGCAAAAAGAATAAACAAATTAACTATGATCCATGAAACAGGAAAGGGTGCTGTGAGCTCAGAGGGGCAGACAACCCTTCCTTTAAACAAGTCTGAGTCCGGTTCCCAGAAACTTCATTCCATATGTCCCAATGTCATCCCCTAAAGCAGTGTTTCCCAAAATGGTACACGGATCAATGATGATGGTGTAAGCAGAGGAAAACTTTTTAAAAAAATCTTTAATAGTTATGTATATTAGACATATATAACTAGCACATCAATCTCAGAAGATCAAGGACTTTCCCACATAGTACAAGAATAAAGTAAATAATAAGCTTACAATTTTGAAAAAGTAAGTCATTCTAAAGTGAACTAAGTAAACTGGAATTCAAGTTGTACTCATATAAGACAAAATCGTGGCAGTGGCATGGATGTGGCTAAAGTTTTGGAAATATTACCCTTTAGGAAAACAGACAAGTCTTTAAGCATCTGATAGTGTATACCACCACCAGAGACTCCTTCTTCAAACAAAACAAGCCCTGTTCCTAAAACAGTTCCTTTACGATATACAGACTTTAACCTTGCAACACCCTGTCCACCCTCCACTACTAAACAACCCTGACATGCATACCCATCTTTCCTGCTAAACTGTGGGTTCCCTGAGAGAGGGCCTTCCCTCCTTCACCATGGTTTGATTCCTTTGTACTCCTAGGATCTAGCACAATCTTTTGTATTACATTAAATAGGAAAACAATGAGAATTATTTAAATTTTGCATTTTTACAGATGATTTTTTACATTTTATATAAAAATATTCATATGGTCCGGACACGGTGGCTCACGCCTGTAATCCCAGCACTTTGGGAGGCTGAGGAGGGCAGGTCATGAGGTCAGGAGATCAACACCATCCTGGCTAACACGGTGAAACCCCGTCTCTACTGAAAATACAAAAAATTAGCTGGGCGTGGTGGCAGGCACCTGTAGTCCCAGCTACTCGGGAGGCTGAAGCAGGAGAATGGCATAAACCCGGGAGATGGAGCTTGCAGTGAGCCGAGATCGTGCCACTGCACTCCAGCCTGGTGATAGAGTGAGACTCCGTCTCGAGAAAAAAAAAAAAAGCTATATATATAAATATATATATATATAAATATATATATAAATATATAAATACATAAATATATACATATTTGTATGAAATTCTTTCTCCATATAAAAATCAAGATTGAAGCCTGAATTATGTATGAGATTTTATCAGAAACAATCAACAATAATATATATTTTGACATACTCAAAAACATAAATAATAAACTTAACGTTAACAATATAGTAACCAAAAAGAATCAATTTGGAAACTACAAATAAAAGTTTTTACATAGTAGGCCGGGTGCCATGGCTCACTCCTGTAATCCTAGCACTCTGGGAGGCTGAGGTGGGCCGGTTCCCTGAGCTCAGGAGTTTGAGACCAGCCTGGGCAACATAGTGAAACCTCATCTCTACTAAAACACTAAAAATTAGCCAGGCATGGTGGCGCATGCCTGTAGTCCCAGCTACTTGAGAGGCTGACACAGGAGAACTGCTTGAACCTGGGAAGCGGAAATTAGAGTAAGTTGATGTTCGTGCCACTGCACTCAAGCCTGGACAATAGAGCAAGACTCAGTCTCCAAAAAAAAAAAGGTTTCTACATAGTAAAATCTTAGGCTAACTGCTTATATTGCAAAAACTCAAGTGAACTTGAGTTCTACTTGTGAAGCAGTAAATATAAACCGAATTACAGCAGATGTAATAAAGTACATTGTATAGATATATTCCTACCTGTGGTGAGTCATGTTTTCCATATAGGTCTCTGGCTGTTAGTTTTTCTGGGAATTAAGGATTGGTTCTGTGCAATATCATCATGGGCCAAAAGTAAAGGAATCCTTGAGTAACTACTACTCCCTAGTTGAAAGTAATATTCAAGGAAAGATAGAAAGAGTTTCTTCCCCAAACTCTTATTTTGATTTTACTGATAATACCAAGAAGAAAGCCTGAGTTATGGAGCACGGTGCCTCAAACCTTAAAGTTAGCAATAGTAAAGTCATCAACCTAAGGAGAGGAATAAGATGGGAGTTCTGGAAGCACTGGAAAACTAAAATCTTTGAAAGAAAGGGACACATGTAAGTATTTGAAAAAGAAGATTTCAAATTAATAAATCAAGGGGTCTTCATTCTAATATGGGGTCTTTATTATGGGGGTTTCCATGTATGCATGTTAAATAAATGTGTATGCCTTTACTCCTTAAAAAGAATTAAGAAGGTTCCTGGGCCGGGCGTGGTGGCTCACGCCTGTAATCCCAGCATTTTGGGAGGCCGAGGCTGGCAGATCACGAGCTCAGGAGATCGAGACCATCCTGGCCAACATGGTGAAACCCCGTCTCTACTAAAAATACAAAAAAATTAGCCAGGGATGGTGGTGGGCGCCTACAGTCCCAGCTACTCGGGAGGCTGAGACAGGAGAATGGCATGAACCCGGGAGGCGGAGCTAGCAGCAAGCTGAGATTGCACCACTGCGCTCCAGCCTGGGTGACAGAGTGAGACTCCGTCTCAGAAAAAAAAAAAAAAAAAAGGTTCCCAAGACATAAGTAATCCAGAAAAGAAAGTTACATGTAGTAAATGTGAAATATGCAAATAGGAGTGATAGGAATGATCTGAAAGTATTTATGAAATTGAAAAACTATCCCCAAAGCATTCAATTCATTTCAACAAGCAGTTAATAAGCATACACTAACACTAGTAGTCTCCAAAGCTGGTGAGGAAAGAAAATATTAGAGCTTTGTTTTTCATCTCAGAAATATGCAGCAGCTAAGCTTCAGCAGTATGCATAATCCAGCCTGATAGTGGCACCTGCACTTGGTCTATCTGTCAGGAAGTCACAGTCATGTGTGGTGCCCTAGGTATTCTGAGAGAAGAGTGCAGCCCTGCCATGCAACAGGAGTGACAGGCACCCTCTCCTTCCTTCTCTCTCACAAAATAAGACACATGGTGGTTCAGTGTGCATAATCCTACCACTTAGGTTTAACTAAACTGATTCTCATAAAATTCCATTTAAAAATAATGGAATCATAAAACTATTTTAAAACTTGCGTGCAAAGAAATTCCAGATGAAATCATTAATGATCCGAGTACAAGCCAATGACAATGATACAAAAAAAGCTCTGTTAGCCATTTTTTGTGAGCTAAGAACAAAGACAATATTAATCAGATCTCTGAAGAAAACTGCTCTTCTATCCATTACCAAGACTCTCTGAAATACAGATTTACATCCACCATTATTAACAATGAACATGGCTCTAAATAGATACTGTTCCTTGCAACATTAAACAATGATACCATTAAGCCATCATGATTAGCAAAGCATTTTATAAAACTTATTCAGATGATTATTAATATTTTTCCAATATAAAAGATTTTCTTACTGTGAAAACACAATTTTAAAATGCTTTAAAAATTTTACTTAATTTTATCCTTGGAAAAATGTCAATCTGTAGATGTCATAATTAATATAACTATGCATTATATAATTTCTAAATCAATTAACCTAAATCAGGGGTGCTGCTTTAAAAGGTTATATTGATGAGATATGTGATCCATAAAGTTTAAAGTCCATCATACTCAAGGAACTGTTGAAGGCGGAGGTGGGGGGACGAGTGAAAGAAGAGAAGTAAGGGGGAAGGAAAACAGTAGCTTCTGCTATTTAATGATGATCCACACAAATTACTACATTGAAATCTCACTAGCATTTTTATTCACCCAATTTTACCCATAAAGAATTAAAGCTCAAAGGAGTTAAGTCCCTTACTCACATAACAGAATGCTACGCAGATTTGCATCCATGCTGTTCCAACTCTAAAACTGATGCTCTCAACCACCAGGCCATGCCTCTCCTACTCCAAAACCATAAAGGGAGCCCCTCATCCTGGCTGAAAATAATACAAGTTTAGAATCTGCCATAGAACAGAACTTCAGCACCTGGGATTTAACAGGCCTAAATTCAATCTATTTGTTCTAGAGAATAGCATTTTGTGGTTTTCAGTGAGTCTAGCTCCAAATTATCTTCCCAGACTTCTCTCCCACTCCTTCATCCTCATCCACAGAACCCCATATCCAAAAGGAAACAGTTGCTAGTCCAAAAAGATGCAATTCTGTGGTTTTTGTGTTTGCTTGTTTTGATTTGTTGCCTCTTCTGCCATCTGTTCATCTTGGTATCACATCTGCATTTCCTGATTTCTCCTGAGGGACAATCTCTCTTAGGCATTTTGCCCCTTTCTTTATGGTTCATTCCTTCAACAAGCATTCACTAAACTGTCTCTTTGCAGGCCTGCTCAAATTCCTCAAAGAATAAATTGTTGTCACTACATTTAAGGTGCCCATGATTTTAAAGAAGAAAACGAGCAGGAATGTCATTCTAATACTGTATAATGAGAGGTTTACAAAGTCCTGTGGGAACACAGATGATGAAGTCTGCTAGGGAACTCCAGGAGAGCTTTCAAAAGAAGGCTGCCTATGACCTGGAGTGTGCTGGAGAGAGACAGATCTGCAAGTGGAGAGGAGGAAGGCATTTCAGTGTATGGAATGATTAAAAGCTGGTCAGGTGTGACCCTTTGGTGCACGTGGCCCTTTGGCTGGAGCTGTGCAGTGAGGTAAGGCTGAAAAGAGAGGGCAGGCTCTGAGGTACCCACATGACAGTGCTTCCCACAGGATGTTCCACTGCCCAATTCTGAAGGACCACAGACAGGCCAAAAGTTCAAGTGCTTTCCTATATTCATACAAATGAATGGCATAAAGTATGTATCTTTCATTTTCATTTTTACTACTATGATTAATACCAACTTAATATTAATTTACTAAATGAATTATGGGATATTGCATTTGGTTTTCATATACATGGGGGGAAAATTACTAGCATTTACAGGACATCCTAACTAAGTCTCCTACAAAACAGTCTGGCTGCTATGCATGCAGTGCTTGTTTGTGCTGCAGAGCTCCTCATGCACATACATGCACACACAGACACACCACAGGTGTCTGGAATTCCTGCAGTTTGGAAGAAAGATGTTCTGTTACTGATGCATTTGGCTTTATATTGGTCATAGTCTTCAACTGATGCACGCTAGCTTTTTCAATTATAAGTTTCTATTAACTTCAAAATGGTCAAAGATGGTTTTAGGTTCCCTGGTTAACCCTACACAATACAGAGATGCATGGACTGTTAAGACCATAGTCTGCCAACATCCTTCCCCTGCCAGGATATAAGGAACCAGCAGGATATAAAAGAGGCTCCCACAGCTCTCAACCCTTCAAGTAGGACACCCACTTCCCTGGCCAGGAGGCCAACAGCCTTAACCCAACAAATTGTCAACGGCTAGAATCAGAACTCATTACCTACCTTCCCCTAAAACACCAACATTATCATATTATGCTTTATATCCCTGTTCATTGCCCACAGCTCTCTTCATCCCAGCCCTTCCACTGAGCCTTCTGGAGCACACATTTTCATTAGGAAAAAACCTTCTATATTGTCAACCTCAGCCTCCTTGAATACCCTTGATCTAACAGAAACCTGGGTGTCCCCTGAGGACAGCTCTTTCTCAGAAGGCTTTTCAAATGGTGACCTCTTAGTTCTCTCTCCACAAGCCACGTACCATGGAGATGACTCTTCATTACTGCTTCCAAGTCATTTCTCCTCAAACATCCCAGCTACCTTGAAATAGCCCATCAGACTACTCCATCCATCAACGTTTCTTGCTCGAGTCATCTGCAGACATCACCATCACTCCTGCTCATTTTCTGATAATCTGAGCACCTAGCTCACTGTCTTTCCCTCCACACTACTCCCGTGCTCATTTTGTAAATTTCTACGTCCCTGCAGACAAGGCACCCAACAACACAGCCTCTAAGTCCTTGATCTGCTTGCACTTCCTCTATTCTACCTCAGCTACCCAGCCCCTTAGTCTCATCCTGCCTAGACATTCTCTCCACTGGTGACTGCACTGCCACTACAATTCTGAATTCATGCATTCCACTCCCTGACTACCACTTCCCAGCATTCAGGTCACTTCCTCTAGTCCTGACTCAAATAGTTTTTGACCCGCTCTGTTATCTCTACTACTTTTCTCATTGTCCATCGCCATCTCCATGTCCTCACTTCCCTCCTCACCCAACTAGGATTCTGAAGTTCAGTACTGAAATCACTTTCTTGCTGATGCCTTCCCAATTCCCTCACTTCTCTTTTCCTCCATATTTGCCTGGCAAAACCCTAATCTTGATTAAATCCAACTCTCCACCTACTCCATGTCCCAGGGCAGTTACATATAGCTGAAGAACAATATAACCATTCCACTTGCTCTTACTTTAAGTTCATCACCACAAATCTCAAGTGCACCCCCAGCTCTGCCCAGCAATCCTACTACATTGACCTAGTCCCTGGGGAAACCTATTGTTCTCTTTAAACTTCTAACAACAATCCCTAATCTTCATGCTTAGCTGACTCTTACCTCTTTGTAACTGAAAGACAGAATCTATCAGAAGAGAACTACCTTGTCTTTCCACCTTAAAATCTACACATTCACCTGTATCAACATGTACATTCTGCCTTCAGATGAAATATACTTCCTCCTATATTTAGGAATATCAATCTCTCTGTTTTGAATAAAATGTAAGCTCAATGAAATGTAGGCATTTAATAAATATTTGTGGAAATAAGCTGAATTATTCCTATCACAGTGTACAAATATGTAAAAATTTCCGATCAAAAACAAAAATAAAAAACCTCCCTAGAATCCATGCACCCTTCCATTTGTTGCCTTATTTTTCTGCCTATACTCTGACTTCCTTTCTCCCTTAAACCCATCCTAATTAGCTTCCTAAACACCATTCCAAATAAATGATTCATGACAAAGTAACCACCAAGCTCCATTGTACCAGCTCCATTCATTTACCAACAGTCCATTCTAAGTCCTCACCTTACTTAATCACTTACTTAGATCTGCAACAAGTTGTACAATTAAGATGTGTACTTCATTGCACACACATTATAACTCACACATTAGAAAATGTCACTGAAAGTATTTCATAGTAGATCAGATACAGCTGAAAAGAAGATTAGTGGACTGAAAGATAAATCCAAGGAAATTACCCAAAATGCAGATGGAAGAGAAATGGAAATTCTAGGAGACCAAGATACATGAAGAATAGAATAAGAAGGTCCAACAAGCCTGACAGGTCATTTTAAGAAGAAAGGTGAATAGCAGAGACATAACACAACAAATTAAAACTTCAGATCACAAAGGTTACCCAGAAGTAGAGAGTTAATTATTTTTTCCCCTTCTAAGGTCAGAAAACTAGCAGGCTTAAGTCTAGGTTTTATGTTTTTTGTAATATACCACATCACTCAGAAAAGAAAGACAGAAAAATCCAGTTGGCTCAGAAACTCCTTTAGGCACAAATCACATATTATCCCGCTTCTTGAACTGGGATGTGTGAATTCTTGGAGACAGCCCATGGTGCACTAGGAATAAGCAAAACCACAGAATGACATTTTCCTGGAACATTAATTTTCTAAAAGGAATTCAAGGAAGTTAATTAAGTAATTGAACAGGCATGTGATTACACCTTTTCAGTAATAAACATGGATATATTTACCAAAGTAGAACTTCAAATGTGCATATATTTATAAGATAAACTATGAAACCTGAGCATGTGGTAACAGGCTTCTAACTTCTCGATTCATAAGTGAGTTATGCATTTATTTTCTTCCACTCTAAAGACTAAGCTTAAAGAGCACTCTAATGGCTTTCTCAACAACCTGTGAATTACTATGATTTTCAGGATTCAAGGTCTATTTAACAAAGAAGATTCTTCGTGTAATTCACTGTGTTTTTGTTTCTTCTACTCTGGATTTAAATGTTTTATTTTGTGAAGAGTATGACGAAAATATCTGGAGACTGAGGACACAAACTGGTACCCAGAAAGGGAGAAGTATAATACATGGTTCTCTCTCACCCCACTCTCATCTGCTTGTTATGAAGTTCTGATAATCACTGGTACGCAGAAAGGGAGAAGTATAATATATGGTTCTCTCTTATCCCACTCTCTTCTGCTTGTTATGAAGTTCTGATAATCACTTCTGCAAATAATTCAATCTAGAAAGCTAGTTTATTATGTCATGGTCTTGCCTTCATCTACTATATGTTATATCGTAGTATGAGTCAGGATTAAGGAGAGTTACAACAGAACTGTATAATAATGGCTTCAACAAAAGTCCAAAAGTAAAGGCAGCAGAGCTTGCACATTGCCTCATCATGGTCAAAAGCCAGGATCCTTTTCTTTTGTTGCTTCACTGTGGATTGTCTCCATTCTTAAGGTTACCCATGGTCCAGGATGGCTAAACCAGCTCCAGCCATCACATCTTCATTCAAGTCAGCAGGAAAAAGATGAGCATATGTACTCCCTTTAAGAATTCTACCTGCAAATTTGCCCATACTATTTCTACTTACATTCCATTGGCTAAAATATGGACCATACCTGGTTACAAAGAAGAATGAGAAATATGGTCTATTCTTGGTGTGCATGTGGTCAGCTAAAATGAGGAAGGGGTACAACTAGCAGTCACTGCCACACCTCATCTGAGTAAAACCTTTGCAGTGCCCCAAGAATACTCCTTTTCACTTGATATGGCAGAAAAGATAGTTTACCTTCCATACCCTGTCCTTCATGTCCTTTCTTTAACTTAGATCAGAACAAACAACTGTGCCCAGATAAACCAGTGAGCTTCATTAACAACATGAAAACTGGCAGAAGTACCCTAACATCCTTCCTTTGAATAAAAGCAACAAGGTGCCTCAAAACATGTGCTATGAATCATGGAACCAAAAGAAGGAGGAAAATGACTTCAGCTGCTTGACAGCAAGAATTTGCCTGCTTTCTTGATGTGACCAAGTCAGGAACTGAAATTAATAAAAGTGACAGCTTGGATTCAAACTGCACCTTTCTCTAGTAGACTCCAGCTTTTCAAAAATACTGCAATATGCAATTTTGCTTTCATAATGTACCCTTAATATTCTCTAATGACAAAATAAAATGACATTACTTAACATTTTAAACAATAAATACTATAATACTTAATTTGCTGAAATATAATCTATACATATATCTAGGAACAAAAACTGAAAAAGAATGAGAAAGACCAAAAACAGCTATTTTTTTTACAGAGACAGAATTATAGCTAAACTTACTTTTTAATTTTCAGAACTCTGAATGCTCTTTATGCAACATTTTAAAATTTTATAAACAGACATTTCATACACACTTGTGTGTGTATATATATATATATATATGTATATCTTACACATTCAAGTCCTGCTGACTTGAATGAAGATGTGATGGCTGGAGCTGGTTTAGCCATCCTGGACCATGGGTAACCTTAAGAATGGAGACAATCCACAGTGAATCAACAAAAGAAAAGATAGAGACAGATGGTATCATGAAAACATCCCGGCTTTGAAGCCACACATGATTTTAAAGTCCAGTCCTACCGTCTACTAGTTGTGCACCTTCGTGAGAATTATATAATTTCTCTACAATAAAGACCACATTATCAGCTATTTCATGTCTGTTGCTTTCATTTCCACCCCTCCCATCTATGATCTGTACTGCAGGGAGCTACAAACTTGCAAGCTATATTCCCAAAACTACTTTGCCTGCTGGCTTCAGGTTAGGGTCTGACAATGGGAGACACTGGCGGGAGACGGGAAGGGGAAAAGAACAGGGGAACCATTTTTCTTTTTGCTCACTGTGGGGTCTCTGGCAGATGCAACTATGGGTCCAATGGCTTCCTGCTCAGGTAGTAAGGCTTCCTGAGGTTCTACTGCAGTGTAATGTAGAAAGATGTTCATTAAAGTGTTATCTGGAATGGCAAAATACTGAAAACCACCAAAATGACCAACCATAGGCTGAAGGCTAAATAAACTTGGGTAGATCCATATAATACACCATTAAAATTACATTCATGAAGAAATATTAATGGCATAGAAAACACACCACAACGGTACATAAACAAGATAGGATTTTAAAAGCTATATTGTCATTAGCATTACGTTAGTATTGTTATCGCAGAGCTAGACAAGAGCATAAAAAAATTCAGATTCAAATCCAGTATAATTTAAATATCTATGAAAGTTATCTCCAAGCCTGACAGACAGATATGAAAAGAACAGAAAATGCAATCCAGCAGTAAAAAGCATACTTAGAGAAAACTGGGTCAACCTAAGTAGAAGGCTGCAGATTTATGCTTACGCTATGGATTTTCTCTCAAAGGTGGCAAACTTGAAAGTTTGATTGAAAGGTTTTTTGTTTGTTTGTTTTTTTAACTAACTTTTCAGGCTGGATGCAGTGGCTCATGTCCATAATCCCAGCATTTTGAGAGGCTGAGGCAGGAGGCTGACTAGAGGCCAGGAGTTTGAGACCAGCCTGGGCAACACAGCAAGATGCAGTCTCTATAAATAAATAAATAATCAGTTGGGTGTTGTGGTGTATGTTTGTAGTTCCAGCTACTCAGCAGGCTGAAGCAAGAAGATAGCTTGAGCCCAGGAAGCTGAGGCTGCAGTGAGCCATGATCGCACCACTGTGCTCCAGCCTGGGCGACAAAGCAAGATCCTGTCTCTAAAAAAAACAAATGTTTTTAAATCTAACTTTGTAATGTATAAACCATAGATATATAAAGTACATAATCAATACATAGTATATCTGTGGTCTTAAAATTTCCTGCCATTGCAGGAGAAATGACAATTAGGAAAAAATGACCCAAAAAGGATCCTTAGGGGAATAATAATGGAAAAAAAGGTTAAGAAACACTGGCCAACATAAATCTCCCTGAAGGATAAAGTGCTAATGTAACTTGAACCCATGGGTGCACAGAAGGGTCGAAATCAACCCTATCCAGACGGCATGGACCCAGAATTCTTAGCTATCACAGGGACAACATAATGGTTCAGTGTATAGCCAGCCATCCCTGTGTTAAGGTAAAACAGCATGGACGCGTGCAGCACCAAGACATACAAAACTCAAAGCTTGTAAATAATACCAAAATATTTAAAAGAATTAGAAATTCACTATATTGGATATACTATGATTGTTTAAGAATAGGAAGTGCTTTGGGTAGACACGTCAAGTGATTAAAAAGAAAATCTAATGTATCAAATTTGTAATGGCAGTTTTATTATTTTAATGGATTTAATTAGCTAAGTTTATAAATGACATTAATTACATGGGATTCAGTCTGTTTAACCTGAGTTCAGTGAATATTAATCAAAGGTCTTTTTGAAAGCTACTGCTAAAATTTATTCAATTTAAGTTACCCTGAACTTAAAAGCTGAAGGAAAGGGTAAACTTGAAAATGTTACTTTAATAAAGTATAAAAATCTTGGTATAAAACATGAGTAACTGCCAGTATTACTTTCTGAGCACAAAAGATGCCCCCGCATGTGTAAAATTACATACCTGAAGTATGACCTCAGTTATGCATATACATGTGAAAGAGTGTATATGTATGTATATTTGCCACACATACATAGAAGATATATCAAACTATTAACCATAATTATGTGTGGCCAAAAGAATTATTAGATATTTTAAGTTTTCTTTACAGTTCTCTATATTTTCCAAATACAGAGTATATACTCATATCTGTATTTTCCAGGCCATTTCACTTTGTTGCTAAAATGTTCCTCTATATTAGTACCTTGTTAATTCAATACACTATAGAAAATGTTGCCTTTACATTAAAAAACATATATGCTTAAGAGGATTACAGTTGAGCTTGGTAAGCCAAAAAGAAGGTAAAGCATTCTAGCCAAATGTTGTTCAATTGAAACAATAAGGGCCACATTTATAATGTTAAATTTTCTAGTAGCCAACTAAAAAATTACAAAGAAATGGGTAAAAATAATTACATTAATATATTTTATTTAATCCAATATAGGCAAAATATTAGCATTTCAATGCAATCAATATAAAAATGATGAATTAAGTATTTTGCATTTTTTAAGAATCTTTGGAATTTGTTGTGTATTTTCCACTTGGAACACATAAATTCAAGCAGCTGCATTTCAATGCTCAAAAGTCACATGTGGCTAGAGGCTTCCTTAGAGACAGCACAGGTCTAAGCAGAGGGACAACAGGACCGAAGCCACAGAGGCAGAGAAGCACAAGGCACAGCTGGAGAAGGGAAGGATCATGTAAGTGGAACTGAGGATCAACAGGCAGGCAAACTGCCAGTTACGATGGTCACTGTGTGCCACTGAGGGCTTTACAATCTTATTATCAGTGAGATCCACACCAAGAGTATAAATAAGAGAGCCAACACAATAAAGTTTTAGCTGTTTTAGAAAGTTCTCTCCAAAAGAAAAGTGTGGAAAAAACTGTAACAAAAGGTAGGTCTGTAAGAATTCACATAAAAGATGTTTATTGCAGCATTATTCACAATAGCAAAGACTTGGAACCAACCTAAATGTCCATCAATGATAGGCTGAATTAAGAAAATGTGGCACATATACACTATGGAATACTATGCAGCCATAAAAAAGGATGAGTTCATGTCCTTTGTAGGGACATCGATGAAGCTGGAAACCATCATTCTGAACAAACCATCACAAGGACAGAAAACCAAACACCACATGTTCTCACTCATAGGTGGGAACTGAACAAGGAGAACACTTGGACACAGGGTGGGGAACATCACACACCAGGGCCTGTTGTGGGGTGGGGGGAGGGGGAGGTATAGCATTAGGAGATATACCTAATGTAAATGATGGGTTAACGGGTGCAGCACACCAACATGGCACATGTATACATATGTAACAAACCTTCACGTTATGCACATGTACCCTAGAACTTAAAGTATAATAATTAAAAAAAAAAAAAGAATTCACATGAGAGATGATGAAGTTTAAGGTTATGAGAGGAAGGGGCAGACAGATGATCTGGAGGTAAAATTGAGAAGTACCTACAAACTTAAGACATTTATATTTTCCTGGTAACTTTTTTTCTTTTCTCATACACTGGCCATCTTTATCTCTAGGAAAGCTACAGACACTGGTATAGCTGATAAACTTCACTATTGCTTATGTTGATGCACTGTGTGTGACTGTATAACTGAGGGTATATTGGGATTGGGGGACGTAAAGGATGAAATCAAGAACAGAGGCTGTGAGAGCAGCAGGAGGCAGCCAAATGTCTAGGCAGACAGGGGCAGGTCCCCAGTGAAACTTCACCTCTAAGCCAAAGAGAGTTTAAAGCCTGAAAGCCAAGCTGCAAGTTAAATCCTCAGACCGGATTGAGAACTTGTCTTCCTGTTTGGCGTGCTTTCCCCTGACTGGTCCCCACCCTTCACCTATTTTACATATACTGACCCTTTCCTAATTGGTTTTCTACACTGTCGTGTCCACCTTTGAGTGGTGTCTTCACTTTAACCTTTTTTGCATACTCACAAACCAATCAGCACACACTCCCCAGTCTGAGTCCATAAGAGACCCTGGACCCAGCCACACAGGGAGAACTTTCCCACCTTCAGGTAAAGGAAGCATCCCCTATGCATCCCCTCTCTGCTGAAAGCCATTTTCATAGCTCAATAAAATTCTTCTCTGCCCTCCGCACCCTTCAATGTCCTGCATATCCTCATTCTTCTTGGGCATGGTACGAGAACTTGGGAACCGCTGAACATGGGTACAAGCTATAACACAGGTGACCGGGGGCATGTCAGCATGGCCAAGCAAGACCCAGGCGGGGCATCACCACCAGGGGTCCCCAACTTGCAGAGTGACTAAGAAGAAAAATCCTGCATCAGTTGGGTTAGCTCTTGGCTTTGAGAGCTAAATGGAAGGTAGGTTTTCTGAGACAGCAAAGGTAGAATAGAAGCACAGATTTAGGTACCTCTAAGACTAACAGAGTCCTAATCACATGTGCCACAAAGTTAGAAGAGAGGTGGGTGCCAGAGATAAGGCGTTATGTACATGCACTTGTAATTAATCCTTGAAGCTATCAGAAGCATTTAAACCATAGCAACTCCATCTTGAATAGGAGCTAGGTTAAATAAGTCCGAGACCTGCTGGACTGCATTCCTAGGAGGTTAAGGCATTCTGAGTCACAGGATGAGACCGGAGGTCAACACAGGATACAGGTCATAAAGACCTTGCTGATAAAACAGGTTGCAGTAGGCCGGGCATGGTGGCTCATGCCTGTAATCCCAGCACTTTGGGAGGCCGAGGCAGGCGGATCACGAGATCAGGAGTTCAAGACCAGCCTGACCAACATGGTGAAACCCCATCTCTACTAAAAATACAAAATTAACTGGGCGTGGTGGCGCACACCTGTAATCCCAGTTACTCAGGAGGTTGAGGCAGAAGAATCACTTGAACCAGGGGGGCGGAGGTTCCAGTTAGCCAAGGTCGCACCACTGAACTCCAGTCTCGGCAACAGAGCAAGACTCTGTCACAAAAAAAAAAAAAAAAAAAAAAAAAAAAAAAAAAAGGGCTGCAGTAAAAAACCTGGCCAAAACCTGTCAAGACATCACCCTATATGGTCTAAAAAGAGGCATGAATAATCCACCCCTTGTTTAGCATATCATCAAGAAATAACCATAAAAATGGGCAACCGGCAGCCCTCAGGACTGCTCTGTCTACGGAGTCGCCATTCTTTTATTCATTTACTTTCTTAATAAACTTGCTTTCACTTTACTGTATGGATTCACCTAGAATTCTTTCTTGTGCAAAATCCAAGAACCCTCTCTTGGGATCTGGATCGGGACCCCTTTCTGGTAACATCTTTTTGGTGACCCACAGAAGAGACAATGATGAGGAAACCCCTGACCCAGGGCTAACTTTGGGTAAGTGGTGGGGTCTGGTAACAAAGCCACTGGTATAAATAAAATTACCAATAAAGATGACATTTGTCTTGCACCACTTACCTCCAAGGGCTATTGTAAACATCACATGAAAAAAACACAAGTGGCCAGGCGCGGTGGCTCACACCCGTAATCCCAGCATTTTGGGAGGCCAAGGCATGCAGATCACCTGAGGTCAGGAGTTCAAGACCAGCCAGGCCAACTAGGGATAGGTAGTTTCTTCCCTATCAAATATTATTTTACAAGTTTATGATAATCATTCCCTCCCTTTTCTTTACACACAGAACCACCTGTAAATAAAACCCTAAATGACATAGTTTAATTTTGCCAGTTTTCAAAAAATACAGTTTTGCCTATTGAACTTTCACACTATATGTGTTCTTTTTCAAGCTGCTTTTCACTCAACATTGTGCTGTAAGAGTCATCCAGGTTTATATGAGTAGCTGTAGGTCCTTCAGCTGTGTACATTGAACATAATACTTTTTATCCATGCCACTGTTGATGGTCTTCTGACTTGCTTCAAGCCTGAGACCATTACAAAGAATGCTGCTAGGAATGTTTCTATATGGGCTTCCTGGTACACACGTGCGAATTCCTATGGAGTACATCTAAGAATGGAGACAGTGTGTTAAAGAGTAGATACATATTCAGTTTTACTAAATAAAGACCAAAGCAGCTGAACCTAACTACATTCTTAACAAAGTAATATTTCCTATTGGCACACTGCCTTCTTTCATAATTTAAATGTAACATTCATTTCCAGTTTGGCAATTGTACTGTTTACAATATTTGCCTAATTTTGAAAGAGATTTAATTCATTTTCGCTTTATGCAAAATAAGAGTAAAATTACATCTCCAGTCCAATAAGCAACATCTAGCTCCACACAGAACCAGCAGGGGGAATTCAGACATTCATATCGTATGATTGGCTTCTGTACATCTCTGGAAGTTATACCAAGAATCCCAAGGTCATTAGAGCTCTTCATTCTCTTTTCTGTTTGGCTCACTCTTTTTGTGTGTTGCAATCATGTTTACTAAGATTGCTTAAAGGCCAGGCCGGTGTCTGAGGGGTGGTGGCTCAGGCCTATAATCTCAGAACTTTGGGAGGCCGAGGCAGGTGGATGGCTTGAGCTCAGGAGTTCGAGACCAGCCTGGGCAACATGGCAAAACCCAGTCTCTACAACAGATACAAAAATTAGCTGGGTATAGTGGCATATGCCTGTAGTCTCAGCTACTCAGAAGGCTGAGGTGGGAGGATCGCTTAAGCCCGAGAGGCGGAGGTTGCAGTGAACTGAGATCACATTACTGCACTCCAGCCTGGGTGACAGAGCAAGACCCTGTGTTAAAAAAAAAAAAAGAAGAAAGAAAGATTGCTTATTTCTTTAACCATTTAACATACATGTTAGGTTCCATAAATTTAAATTCCCATGCACAAAAAATTGTATGGTATTTTTATCATTCAATATCAGAACTACATCTAACCTGCCTACCGGGTATGGGAGGAAAAATAGGCATGGCAACATCCGTAGTAAGAAAATGTAATATATTTCTTAAATATTGAGTTTTATGTACTATGAAGATGTATGTGATGTTACAAACTTCAGACGCAAGAACAAAGATGTTTTTTCCAGAGAAGTCACCTCTTTCCACCTATCTTTGCCCATCATAAAAAACTATCAACATTTATGGTCTGATTACTTAAATTACGCTGCTCTGCACTGACTACATGAAAGACTAAAAGACGTGATTTTAAAAAATCTTTCAAAATAAATACATTTCAAATAATTAGCACAATTATTTTCTAATTCTGCCAGAATCTTAAATAAAACATACAAATAAAAATTTAAAACACAAAAACATAACTTAAAAGCAAATGAATCATAGTATATCATTTTGTTGTACCAAAATACTCATATAATCATTGACAATCTGAAAACATCTCAGTGATAACCATATAATTGGAACCCTGTGTCAACACTTTGTTACTGAATTAGAGAAAACCAGTCTATTGAAGAAAAATATGAAACAAGTGTTTTCTTTTAGAAATATAATGGAAGTGCCAGGACAATAAAATACCCAAGTTTGCTAAAAATATACATGTATTTTATAAAATAAAATATTCATGAATAGGCCGTGTGCAGTGGCTCACGCCTGTAATCCCAGTGCTTTGGGAGGCCAAGGTGAGCAGATTGCTTGAGGTCAGGAGTTCAAGACCAGCCTGGCCAACACAGTGAAATCCCATCTCTACTAAAAATACTAAAATTAGCCGGGCGTGGCGGCGCATGCCTGTAATCCCAGCTACTCGGGAGGCTGTGACAGGAGAATCGCTTGAACCTGGGAGGCGGAGGTTGCAGTGAGCCAAGATCGCGCCATTATACTCCAGGCTGGGTGACAGAGTGAGACGCAGTCACACACACACAAAAAAAAATCATGAATACTTTTCAAGTTAAATATAGAGAAATATTTTACAAAAATCAAAAAGAAAGGGAATGTAAGTTTTCACTGGCTTATTTTGTAAAACTGAAGGCCTCCATCAAAATGCCCCAGAACTAATATATCTGAAAAAACTTCCAAATTATAGAAGAAAAACATCACGTAAAAAGATGTTTTACTGCAATGATACTTACGCAAGCATTTATAAACCATCTAAATGCACATAAGATGCAATTTAAATAAATGATAGTAAATCCACACAGAAGAGATAATAAAAACAACGTTTACTGAAGTTTATAACAATAGGAGAAATGTGATCAAGTTTACAGCTAAACAGCAGGATATATCATCACATCATACAGAATAGTGTTGCTGCCCCAAAATGCTCTGTGCTCTACCTACTTATGTATCTTCTCCTCCCCCTGAACCCCTGGCTATCACTGATCTTTTTACTATCTCTCTTTTTTTTTTGCACTTTCCAGAATGTCATATAATTTGAATCATACAGTATAGACAGCCTCTTCAGACTGGCTTCCTTCCTTTAGCTATAGGCATTTAAGGTTCTTCCATGTCTTTTCCTGGCTTAACAGCTCTTTTCTTCTTATTGCTGAATAAAATTCCACTTTATGAATGTACCACAGTTTGACTCATCTGTAGAAGGACATCTTGGTTGCTTCCAATTTGGGGAAATTATGCATTTGTCTAAACCCTGAGTACTGTACAACACAAAGAATAAACCCTAAACTATGGACTTTAGTCCAAAATAATGTATCAATATTGGCTTGTCAACTGTCACAAATGTAGTACACTAATGGAAGATGCTAACAGCGGAAACTTGAAGAGGAAATTTGTATATGAGGACTGTATGTATTTTCCACTCATTTTTCTGTAAACCTAGAACTGCTCCAAAAAATAAAGTCTATTAATTTTTAAAGTAAAATGTAAAGAATTAAAAGGATAAAGATACAACCATAAAGAGAATGATAGTGGAGCCTTAAGTGGTTGATGGATTTTAACAATTTTTGGTAGAAAGTTAGCAGTGAATGTGGTGAGACACAGTCAAATTCTCAGAGAAGAGGATGAAAGAAATTCCTGACAGAATCTTTGGCAGGGGTGCAGAAGTAGAGAAGGCATCTGAAATGGGGCAACAGTGAGAAGTGGGCCTGGAAATGAAGGTTTGCCAAAAGTCTTTAACTAAAACAATCAACTCATATAATGGTACTGCCCTAGTCCTTAGCCATCTAGATTTCTCTCTCTCTCTCTCTCTCTCTCTCTCTCTCTCTCTCTCTCTCTCCCCCCTCCCCCCTCCCTCCCTCCCTCCCTCCCTCTCCTATCCTCTCCTCTCCTTCCTTCCTTCCTTCCTTCCTTCCTTCCTTCCTTCCTTCCTTTCTTTCTTTCTTTCAAGCAATTCTCGTGCCTCATCCTCCCAAGTAGCTGGGACTGTAGGTGCCTGCCACCATGCCCGGCTAAGCCATCCAGATTTTCAAGACTGCTCATATCATTCTAACAAAGGCTTGATGGCATTCATCCTTTTAACAAATATTTAGTATCTTCCATAACCCAGGCTCTCTGCTAATGCACTGAGGGTGCAGGTACAATAAGCAACTCCTGCTTATAACACATTCTTCATATTCTAGAGGGGATAGTAGTTAGGTAACAGAGAAGCCTAGGGCAGTTTAAGAACCAATGGCTACCCAGGAAAACAGATGATTCTACATAGACCCTACCATCTCTCCACTCTAATTCTCTACTCCATTTCACTCTGCTCCATGCCTACACCTGATACCCCACACCCTTGCCCCAAGGTCCACAAACTCATGACCACAATGTTTCTCCTGGAGCCACCATTGCTTACAGCATCATGGCAACCCAGAGATGCAAGCAGTTGTTCAGGATACACAGAAGCAAACTAAGGCAGGAAATGCAGGGGCTATTAAGCCAAGAGCAATGAAGAAGGATCCGAACAATATGGGAAACTGAGAGAAGACAAGAATAGGAGACTTGAGAACAAACCAGGTCTAGAAATTATCTTTAAGCTGGGCATGGTGGCTCACGCCTGTAATCCCAGCACTTTGGGAGGCCAAGGCAGGCAGCTCGAGAGGTCAGGAGATCAAGATAATCCTGGCCAAAATGATGAAACACCATCTCTACTAAAAAAAATTACAAAAATTAATTGGGCATGGTGGCGTGTGCCTGTAATCCCAGCTACTTGGGAGGCTGAGGCAGGAGAATCACTTGAACCAGGGAGTCAGAGGTTGTAGTGAGCCGAGATGGCGCCGCTGCACTCCAGCCTGGTGACACAGCAAGACTCTGTCCCCCCACAAAAAAGAGAGAGAGAGAGAGAAAGAAATTATCTTTAAAAATAAGGGTCCCACAATTTTTTATTTAAGAAATTATCTTGAAAAGTAAGTGATAACCCCACAATTTTTTAGTTACTCAAATAGCATCTCTCTTGATAAACATGTATATGAACAGGTAACATTATTTCTTTTTCTTTTTTTTTTTTTTTTTTTTTGAGACAGAGTCTCACTCTGTCGCCCAGGCTGGAGTGCAGTGGCACGATCTCGGCTCACTGTAACCTCCGCCCTCTGAGTTCAAGCAATTCTCCTGCCTCAGCCTCCCGAGTAGCTAGGATTACAGGCACCTGCCACCACGCCCAACTAATTTTTTTTTTTGTATTTGTAGTAGAGACGGGGTTTCACCATCTTGGCCAGGCTGGTCTTGAACTCCTGATCTTGTGATCCACCCACCTCGGCCTCCCAAAGTGCTGGGATTACAGGCGTGAGCCACGCAACCGGCCATAAATAGGTAACATTATTTCTACTTTTAGAAACATTGTTGCAAAGCTTTACACTTTCAAACAGTTACTATTGAAGACAACTGCTCTCTTAAAGCTAATATCTGCTAGTCTACACTTTCTAAAATAAACAAACTAGATCTAAAGTACAGCACAAGGACTAGAGTTAATTGTCCTGAAAAATGTTAATAGGCCTGAAAAATGATACTGATAGCTAGCAAGGCTTCCAATTTGATGAAGTTATGGTGAAGGGTGCTACTGGGGTTAATCTGCACTTATTATCCTTTTTAATAATCTAAAAAAGGGGAAATTACATTAATTTTGCAGGTAATTTTGCAAGCTGAAAGGCTAAAGGACCATGAAACAAGAAAGATAAAAACATTTAAGGTTGTTTGGAAAACTAAAGAAATTGACATAGATGAGAGGGAGAAAAAAAGATGAAGTAGGTGAATGGTAAACGAGTATTTGTTTTCAGCTCGCATTTTGTTCTGGACACTTATCACACGTTATTTAAATGTGACAAAAGCCCACAGACAAAGATACTCTAAGTTCCATTTTTAAATGAGGAAACTGGGGCTCAGCAAAGTTAAATAACTTGCTCAAGGTGACTCAACTTGCAAAAGGCAGGGCCTGGTTTCCAGCTGAGACCTTTCTGATGCCAAAAGTCGTATCCTCTTCCAATCCACCACCCTGCTAGTGAAGAGGGACAGCTGCTTCTCTCCCTCTCTTCCTTTTGTCAAGTATGGGACCCCTGTGTCCTGCAGAAGTGAGATGAAGGCTGCTAAGCACCATGATGAATGGCACTCTGCTCTCTCTCCACCACTTGTCCAATTGTGTTTGACAGGACTTTAAGGACCATGGTATCACAAAGATTATGAACAAGTACAAGAGGGGAAAAATGAAGAGCCATGTGCCATAATCCTATAAAGCATCATCATTCCGTTTTTAAAGATAGGGAAAAGCTTGGAGAAATTACATAACTTTCCCAAGTATAGAGCTTATTAGCGTGCAGTCAGGTCTGATCAGACCCCACATTCTTCATATACTGTCTTACCTAGCACTTCTGGAAGGACTAAAGATTAAGATATACATTTTTAATAGACAAACTGAAATTTACAACAGTAATTCATCCTCACAGTGATTCTATTTTCCTCCAACACTTATTATGAAAATAGTCAAACATATAGAAAAGTCAAAAAACTCTATAATGAATACCCATAAACTCAGCTCCAAGATTTTACATTAACATTTTGCTGTATTTGTGATAATATCTCTATCCATCTATCAATCCCTCTATTCATCCATAAATGTAACTTATTTTATTAATGTATGTCAAAGTTAAGTTGCAGAAACACAGTGATTCTATTTATTTATTATTATTATTTTTTAATCAAGACAGAGTCTCGCGCTGACACCCAGGCTGAAGTGCAATGTCACAATCTTGGCTCACTGCAACTTTCATCTCCCGGGTTCAAGTAATCCTCTCATCTCAGCCTACAGAATAGCTGGGATTACAGGTGCAACACCAAGTCCAGATAATTTTAGTATTTTTAGTAGAGATGGGGTTTCACCATGTTGGCCAGGCTGGTCTCGAACCCCTGACCTCAGGTGATCCGCCTGCCTGGGCCTCCTAAAGTGCTGGGATTACAGGTGTGAGCCACCGTGGCTGGCCTGATTCTATTTTAAAAGGGAAAGTTTTGAATAACTCTTACCGTTAGTCTTCGAAAAAAATATTTATGTAATTATAAATATTAAGAATTATTCATGTAAAAGGTAGTCTCAAAACTACACAAGCTATAGTTTGAGGATTTTTCCTACCATACACAAATTCTGTCAGTGAGTAACCTTGAATAAATTTAATCTTTAAATTTACTCCAAGCATCCATTCTGAAATAAACATAAATTAAAACAGCTGCTTAATAAAAGTTTACACTCACTTGACTGGGATATAATTTAACAGTTTCAAAGCAAATAAGTTTTAACCACTTCATTTTTCAAAGAATAAGATTTATAGTCTCAAAAAATAGAATTCCATAATTTCAATTTTAATATTCTCACTTTTAAATATTTTTAAATTCTACAATTTACAACTCAGTCTCAAAAATAGATTAAATCATTAGCACCAAATAAATGGCACTTGTAGCAAGTCTCAGAAACTTATCCCAGGATTTCATCTGCAATTGATTGCTTTATTCTATATTCCTCCTTGTAAATACAAACTAATTCATTCTTCAACTATTTGTAGCATGAAAGAGGCCATCAGTCTTCCCTTCAAATCTGTTAACAAGAAAATGAGAGTAGAAGGTGGGCTTAATGATTCCCAAAGCCAATCCTGGGAACTGGTTTAAAAGTGGTTGTCAGCAAATTACAAGAAAAAAAGATAACAAAGCTGTATTTTGACATTAGATTATTTCCAATGAATATCATTTTTAAAACACCTTTTAAGAAGTC
The DNA here is from genome assembly GCF_000001405.40 of Homo sapiens. Classification (NCBI taxonomy): domain Eukaryota; kingdom Metazoa; phylum Chordata; class Mammalia; order Primates; family Hominidae; genus Homo; species Homo sapiens. Next base: position 49,321,552 of record NC_000018.10, read on the forward strand.
TAAAATCTGAAACCATACTTTTGTCAAAGAGCAATTAAAAATAAAATAATTTTTATTACTACTCTACAACTAAATATAGTTCTTTTGCATCATAAACACTATTCCAAATCATCAATGTATCCCTGCAAGGAACCACTGCACAGAAACAGTAAACAGAAATTAACTATATTTTATAAGTCACAAAATGAGTTCAATCCTGAAAAGGGGGGGAAAAAAGTCATTCTTTCTGTGAGCACGTAAAATCTCTCAAATTATTCCAAATAGAGATGAAATGAGAATATAATTATTGTTTATTAAGCAGTTTCTTTTTTGAAAGTTAGAAGTGTTTTAATTAGAAATCTGTTATTTTCACAACTATGCCTGTTTCTGATTGCCACATACTTTTTCTCTTACTGTAGTTTTTCTCTCTCAATGAGTCACCCTAGAAAAAGCCAAAACTGAAGAGAAAAATAACAATCAAGTAAAATACATTATAATTACTGCATACCATACCCATCACAATGAATTCAACAGCTTTCTCAAAAACAGAAATTAGGAATATGAGTTTTAATCTTCAAGTTCTACTGTATGAATTTCTCTATCATAGCATTTGCCTAAAGAAATAAACACTCCTTTGGCCTTATAATTTGGCTTGGACACCCACCATTGCAAGCAAAGGAAAAAAAAAATTTTTTTGGATGGCTCATTCAAATGGAAAAACCATATATCAGAAGTTATTGTGTAAAACCTCAGTACTTGTGGTGGAAAGTGAAGTTTGGCAGAACACATTTAATTAGATTTGACTCTTCAAAATATGAAATAATTATAATGACATTACAGCTTTGTCTTATAACTTAAAACACAGAAGAAATTTCAAAGTCAACACTTCCTTGCTTCACCCCTTTTTTAGACATTGGAGAAAAATATATTAAAAGAAAAGTCCAAAGTGGTAAGGACAGAATCAAATGAAAAAAAATAAAATAAAATAAATGTTACAACTTATTTCACCTCATGGTATCAAATTTTCAACATATTTCTTTCATCATCTACCTGAATCTCTATTATATATTTATTGTATACATTATTATATGTATGTTATATTACAATATATAAACAGTGTATATACCAAACATCTGATAATTTTCATAATTTATTTACATTAAAAATCTGAATAAACTTGGAAATCATAAGGCCTTTATTTTTCAGTATTTTTAAAACAAAAGTTATATTTTAAATATTACCAGGTAATAATATCTGATACTAATAGTGACCATTTATTGTATACTTCCAAGATACCAGTCTTTTTCCTACACATTTGCTCATTTGATCTCAGCAGCCCCACAAAGGAAGGTATTATTCTCATTTTATTGTGAGGAATTTAAGTTATTGAAAGGTTAATAGCCCAAGAACACTCAGTTAATAAATAGCAGGTCTGGCATTCAATTCCAGGTCTACCTAACACAAACATCTACAGTCCAGTACGTCCCTCTTCTGTAATACCAAATTATTGTAACCCATAGCTAGATCCTCCAAAGGACAATGTAAGTGGTGGCCCTCAAAATTAGAAAAGAGAATAACGTGTTTCAATCACAGAATTGTTTTCTGAGGGGCTCCTTACACATTTTGGCCTGTTTTGTTTTGTTTTTTGTTTTTTAAAAAACAAAAACAAAACATAACAAAAAAACAAGTTAGCAGGGTTAGAATGGGTAGTGAGTGATCCACTTTGGCCACAGTCCTCACCAACACCACTAAGCAGAGCTGTGGTTTAAGATAATGACTAGAGCTGAAAGGTACCTTAGATGCCAACATGCAGAAGAGATCAGTAGCCTTCCAAATTGAGAATTTCAGTGAGGAGCATTCCAGCACAAGCTACTTAATACCTGGTATGGACTGAATTTTTGTGTCACCCTCAAAATTCCTATCTTGAAGCCACAGGTCTCAATGTGAAGGGATTAGAAGGTGGAGCTTTGGAAGGTGATTAGGCTTAGATGAGATCGTGAGAGTGGAGCCCCCATGATGGGCTTAGTGCCCTCAAAAGAAAAGACCAGAGCTTCCTTTCTCTGCCCTGTGAGGACACAGCAAGAAGGTGGACATCTGCAAGTCAGGAATAGGGTTCTACACCAAGAAGTGAATCTCCTGGCACCTGGATCTCTGACTTCCCAGCCTCCAGAACTGTGAGAAATACATTTCTGTTGTTCAAGACACCCAGCCTACGGTATTTTGTTACATTAGCCCAAGCTAAGACAATACTTTACCATCTAACATCCTGTCCCATAACATAACAAATTATGGAAGTAAGGGTCTTCAGTCATTTGCTTTATAAAACATCTTTAACGGATGGGCATGATGGCTGATGCCTGTAATTCCAGCTCCAAGGCGGGCAGATCACTTGAGGTCAGGAGTTCAAGACCAGCCTGGCCAACATGGTGAAATCATGTCTCAAGTAAAAACATAAAAAATTAGGAATGGTGGCAGGTGCCTATAATCCCAGCTACTCAGGCAGCTGAGGCACGACAATCGCTTGAGCCTGGGAGGCGGAGGTTGCAGTGAGCTTACATCATGTCACTGCACTCCAGCCTGAGTGACAGAGCCAGATAGGCTCTGTCTCAAAAAAAAAAAAAAAAAAAAAAAAAAAAAAATCTTTAACACGGCAGGGTGATGTGCTCGTAGATTAAAGAAAGAATTAACTATTAACTGCCGTACTGACTATACTTAAGGCTACCCATAATACTGATATCATTGATTAGTTTGAAACATTTGAAATATTTATTGTAATTCCAGTTGAGTCTGCATCAAATATTTTCTTTATGAAAATCTTTAATTGGCAAATTTTATAAACAAACTGTCAAGGCAAATATAATAACCTTTTAGATAAATTAGTCAATAAGAAATGGTACCATAGTGATTGTTGTCAAGGCAAGTTCACTTAGGAAGCAAGGAGAAATCTCTTGTGGGCAATATCTGTTTAACAATCAAATTTTCCTTTTTTAACTGTTATTGGCCAAATTTTGCACCACATAAAATGAAAAGCCAGTTGGAGAAAACATGGCTGGCATATTCACTTTTGTCAGTTTTTCAAAAATATTTTTAACATAAATTTCAAATTTGAGCAGACCAAAAAGATTCAAAGTTCTTAAATTTTTAAATTGTCTTATATAAATTTGTCCAGGATTTTCTGATCATTAGCTGTTGTTCTAATTAAATTTATTTTCTTTCTTTCTATTTTAACTAATAAGCACCAGCACAGCTTCAGGGCAGAAAACAAAAACAGTTATTTACATGGGAATAGATGTTGTATAATTTTCTATTTTGTATATAATATCTCACTTATTCCTCACAATAACTCTGTTCAAATGGTCTCATATTTATCAGCATTACACATAAGGTAATGAGATTTTAAATGCTGGAGAACTTGGTAAGGTCATGCTGAGCTATGACTCTATCCCAAATCTTCTGATTCTGATTATCAGGCTCTAGAACCCACCCTTAGCCACCAGGATGTCCAGGAGTGGGAGATGAGAAAAGGCATCTGAGAGGTCCCGGGATAATAATAATCCAGGGTGAGATATTGGGGGGATTTGAACCCCTAAGAGGCTCCCAGGCACCTCCCACCACCAGGTGTACTACTAGCTCCAGTTTTGCAAAGATTCCTGTGGGTAAGTCCTAAAACACAGGGGAAACTATAGGAATCCTTGTTCCTTATTAACTCTAAAGTCTGCTGCCTGGAAAACCCAGGCTACTGACCTCACAGCAAATCCTTACCAGGCTTCCAGCAAATGAAATCTATTCTATAAAAAACAGTCAAAAAATCCCTAGTTACATTCACTTTTGTTGTTATTTTACACGTGACAGCTACAGAAACACTCTGCTCTCCACACAAGAATTAAAATGTGCTACTCCTCTCTCAATATGGTACCAAGGACACAATCCTGAAGAAAAGCAAAAAGCCCCAAAATATAGGTTTAATGATCATCTGCAGCTGAAAATAAGAGCAAATCTTGGCTGTAATTATGGGCCACACACCTAACAAAATTGAATCTCACTGAGCTACACAGAGAGCCATACCTTTATATATAAAGTTTGAAAAAGGAAGATAGCACATAAAAACTACAGATCTGGAAAAGGCTTAGATGATAAAATAGGCAAAAAATTTATTAATAACTGATATTAGCACCAAAAGAGTTAGTGTGCATTTAGATTTATTTTTTTAAACGTAGAGTCCAGAATCAGGGAAGTTAGAGTTCCAATTTATTTATTCCATGTTAGAGTACTGCACTCATTGTCAGATTTATCCTGAAAACTGGACCTCATCAGCAACAGAGCACACTAAGAACAGAAACCAAGGGAATACACGAGGAGGGGTCCATTAAATCCACCATAAGCTGCCTCGAAACAACACATTTCCTCAGTAGTTAGTAGTACTGGCTCAACCACATGCCATGAAAGGCCCACAGCAGAAGAGATTCAGGAACTGGAAAGGAGGATGCATTCATCAGCGGTGCTGAAATGACTCGGATACATCAGAATCACCTAGAATAATTACTGAAGGTGCGAATTACCAGGTCCCACCTCATGTCTAATGAATCAGAAACTCCAAGTTCTAACTACAACACATATTTTTTTTTAAGTATGCCAGGTGGTTCTGGAATTCTATGATTCAGTAAAAAGTTCATTTAAAAATACCAAATTAATTAAAACTGCAACACCCTCTTCTAATTAGTAAAGTAATATATCAATTAATTCTTTTTCCATTTTGTCAGCATATTAGAAGAATAGTTAAACTAAACAGAAAGGAAACAATTTTTTCTTGTACTGGAAAATTACTAATACAGCTTTGCTTGCACCTAGCATAGATATAACACAAGATAAATATATTAATATATAATTCATTCTAACCACTTCCAGTGACTGAAGTAAACCACACTTGACACATTTGAAAAGCTTAAAAAAAAAAAACCTAAAATCTATAAGTTAATTTCTATTACACTAATTTTAAAAACTTACTAGTGGTAATTAAAAGGTATTAGTAATTCTTCCAGTTATTTATTACATTCTGATTGAATGCCAACCAAGCACTCACTGAGTACTGCAGTGCCAATAATAAACAGAAGGAAGAGAGGTGGATCCTGCCTCATGGGGCTTTTAGTGTAAGATAGATAAATTGATAGCAGAGTGGTTACAAGAATACCTAATTGTAAAAATTCAACTTAAGTGAAATACAAATAACGCTATACTCAATAAAGGAGACTTTAAAATACAGAGGAAAATATCCATTTTCTTATTTTTATTGACGTAGAAGCAAATGGCTTTTAAGGACAGTTGGATGCTAAATTTACTGAAGCTGGTAAGTATACTGTGGTAGCATAAGCGATATCCTCTTTCAGGAAATACACATTAAAGTATTTAGGAGTAAAGGGATATTACGATGCATGTAACTTATCCTCAAATGATTTTAAAAAACCGTGTGTGTGTGTGTGTGTGTGTGTGTGTGTGTGTGTGTGTGTGTGGTGGGGGGAGAGAAAGAGAAAGGGGGAGAGAGAGAGAAGAAAGTACAGAATGAGACAGAAGAGGAGAAAAAACACAACAAATGGGATAAAATGTTAACAATAAATCAATCTGGATAAAGTTACATATAGTTTTTTGTGATATTTTTATTTTGGGGACTTTTCTATATGTGTGAACTTATTTCAAAATAAAATTTTTTTTTAAGTAGGAGAATGCAGATAAATGGGAAAAAAAGATTGTTGATCATTCTTGAGCAGGGGTTGTGGGTAGATGGGAGTTCATTCTACCATTCTCTCTACTGTGTATATCTTTAGGGTTTTGTTTTGTTTTTGTTTTTTTGTTGTTGAGACAAAGTCTGTCACTCAGGCTGGAGTGCGGTGGCGTGATCACAGCACACTGCAGCCTCGACCTTCCAGGCTCAAGCGAACTACCCACTTCAGACTCCTAAGTAGCGGGGTCTGCAGGCGCGCACCACCACGTCCAGCTAATTTTTGTGTTTTTTATAGAGGTGGTGTCTCACTATGCTGCCCAGGCTGTTCTCAAACTCCTGAGCTCAAGCGATCCACCCACGTCAGCCTCCCAAAGCACTGGGATTACGGACATGAGCCACTGCACCTGGCATCTACTCTATACATCTTTGAAATTTTCTGTAATAAAATGTTAGAAAAGAAAAATAAAGAATAAATGAAATCAGGTATGTAAAGTAGCTACCACAGTGCCTGGCAAACAGAAGGCATTCAGCAAATGACAGACATCATTCTTACAACTGAGTTCACATCTATCTTGAGTATGAGCTTTTGGCATTTAATTGCACACCAGTATTCACTACAGTCCACAGATGTTGGATGGCGCTCTGCTGGATACTGCAGGGGACACCCACACAAGTCAAGGAGCTTATGCCCTCAGGACTTGGGTGATCACAAGAACAAAAGGCAGAAACAGCAAAGGCTCAGGGGTCTGATGAACTGAGCTTAAATTAACGAGCCAACATCATCTATTTCCTATGTAATCTTAGACAAAATAACATACTAACCAGGAAAATCTCTTCATCCATCATTAAAAAATTAAAACCAACTATTTCTGATAGATGAGCCTATTATGAGAATAAATGAGATGCTCAAAACGTGGCACTGTAAACTCATATTATATAAACATTAGTTCTCATTTTATTGTATGTGGAGCCAACACAGGGAGAATGATGCATGTACATAAGTTACTACAAAGCAGAGTGGTATAGTGGTAAAGCGTTAGAGGAAAAGATCGCATCTAGCCAGGAGAGCAAAGGAAGTTCTTCATGGAGAAGGTGGAACTCAAGACGGTCCTTAATGGATGAATGGGCAGAAAATAAAGAGCCAGAGAGAGAAGTAAGGAGGACTCCAAGCAACTGTTCTATCCTAGTGAAGGCATGAAAAAAGAGAGCATCTGCACAGCAAAAGAAACTACCATCAAAGTGAACAGACAACCTACAGAATGGGAGAAAATTTTTGTAGTCTACTCATCTGACAAAGGGCTAATATCCACAATCTACAAAGAACTTAAACAAATTTACAAGAAAAAAAATCAAACAACCCCATCAAAAAGTGGGCAAAGGATATGAATAGACACTTCTCAAAAGACATTTATGCAGCCAACAGACACATGAAAAAATGCTTATCATCACTGGTCAGCAGAGAAATGCAAATCAAAACCACAATGAGATACCATCTCATACCAGTTAGAATGGCAATCATTGAAAAGTCAGGAAACAACAGGTGCTGGAGAGGATGTGGAGAAATAGGAACACTTTTACACTGTTGGTGGGACTGTAAACTAGTTCAACCATTGTGGAAGACAGTGTGGCGATTCCTCAGGGTTCTAGAACTAGAAACAACATTTGACCCAGCCATCCCATTACTGGATATATACCCAAAGGATTATAAATCATGCTACTATAAAGACACACACACACATATGTTTATTGTGGCAACTATTCACAATAGCAAAGACTTGGAACTAACCCAAATGTCCATCAGTGATAGACTGGATTAAGAAAATGTGGCACATATACACCATGGAATACTCTGCAGCCATAAAAAAGGATGAGTTCATGTCCTTTGCAGGGACATGGATGAAGCTGGAAACCATCATTCTGAGCAAACTATTGCAAGGACAGAAAACCAAACACCGCATGTTCTCACTCATAGCTGGGAACTGAATAATGAGAACTCTTGGACACAGGGCAGGGAACATCACACACTGGGGCCTGTTGTGGGGTGGGGGGGAGGGGGGAGGGATAGCATTAGGAGAAATACCTAATGTAAATGACGAGTTAACAGGTGCAGCAAACCAACATGGCACATATATACATATGTAACAAACCTGCACGTTGTGCACATGTACCCTAGAAAAAGTATAATTTAAAAAAAGAAGAAAGCAAAAGGAGAGTATCAGGGTGCAACAAAGTAACAGACTCTTTCACAGAGTCTCAGAAACAAACAAAAGGATAACCAAAAACACATCTGTAAAAGTAAATGAGAAGAAACTGCAGAAGGCCTTGCCTGACTCATAGGAGGGTCCAAGCAAGTGGTTCACTACTCATCCAGCCGCAGTTCCAGTACAAGGATTCTCCTCCTGCCCTGTCAGTGACAACAAATTTCACTCCGGAACTGTAAGGTTTTCTACAACAAGGCACTCTGTTTCAAAGGAAATAATGTAAGCAACACATACAATGCACACACTGCTATGAAAAGAAATGCTTGCTATATCCAGGAAAACTTCAATCCCAACAAAAATGAATATAATCCAAATGAGTTTATAATTTACATTTGGCTTTGGAATATAATTTTTTTCAGTGAGGAACTTCCAAATCATATTTTCTCAAGCCAATAGTAAAGTAAGAGAATTCTTTAACTACCAACCAAAAGATCATCAGAAGTGATCACACAACTTAAGTCAAATCCTGGCAACTTGATTGACTTTCCTGGAATGTGGATTAACTTAAAATTACATGACTGTGATCGTTTTTACATTTCATTTTGCCCAGAGAACGTAGCTGTGCTTTTTAGGAGAATGTCCTTTTGTTGTTTTTTTATAATCCTTTGAGTCACACATATCATGAAATAATGAATCCATAATTACTCCATCTTGATTTATACTTTTACATGAATAGTTTTATAAAGATTTAGGAAGAAAGCTGTGTAAAATGTCTTGTGACTATATAGCACACTAAAAACCATAAATCTATTTTAATGCACTTAACTGAATATTAAATTTTAAAACCGTGAGAAAAAAAAGACCATAGAAAATTATGTAGTAATAATCTCAGAAATCACCATCTCAACCCACCTTCTAATTAGATAGACAAGGAAACTGAGAGCTAGGAAAATTAAGGGGCTTCCTTCCTGCTATCTAGTTAGGAAAAGATCTAAAGTTAAATTCATGTTTTTTGGCACCTGGCACACTAATGATACCACATGCAATACTGGGTTCCCTTTGATATGATACATAACTGAAAGAAAACCCAAAAACCATACACAAATCCATGTTTACTTTTTTAAAAAACTGCCAAGTATTGCCATTGTTTTGAAGAAAGCACTTACAGGCTTATACTATCTCTGCCACCCCAAAAAAACCTCTAACCATATTGGAATATTGGGAAATATTCAGCTTTTAAATACTTATACCAGTTTAATGATTTTTAAAAAAGAAAACAGTAATAGATCAATTAAGCCTTCCAATGGGACACAAAAAGCCCCTGAAATAATGAGGAAACTGGATAGGAGTAACTCAAAGAATCTATGCAGGTGTGGCACTCTTGGCAGGCTGCTCAGCACCAAAGGCAGAAGTGATCACAAGTGTGACTCAATTCATAATATTAAAAGAAATCAAAGGAAGGCAAATCTAAGAAAGTCTGGTTCACTGATTTCTGTCAATTAACAGACCAAGTCTACTGCTTTTTGAAGAGGTCTCTGAATCCAAAGAAGCTCCCAACACTAGTAAGTTATCACAGTGCTACCTTTTCATATCAAACTGATGTCCAGCTGGAGTGTAGAGCACGCCACAGCCATAATGCAGCTGTGGAAATGTGTTCCATTTGACTCTGTCCTGCGTGATTAAGGAGAGGACATGCTGCAGGTTTGGGAGGAGTAAGGAACTCCCAGGCCGACCTCACAAGTACCAAAGTGTCGCTCTAGGAAGTTTCATTTATATAACTTCACATGACCCAGGCCCTCCACCAGAACTACTCTCTTACTTCTAGTGTCTGTAGTCTGAATACTGTGAAGTGAAGCAGAAATGAGGACTTATTGTAAGGTAGGGAAGAGCTTTCTTCACTTAAGAAATCTGCACCCAATCAAACAAAACTCAAGTTTGTGCCATTTCACAGCTTATTACAAAATTCTGCAAAATATTCAGTTGTCACTGAAGAAAGCACTTAGTGTAATAGGAAAACTGCACCTAATTAGTCACATGAAATCCTAACCAAAATATACCCTAAAATAACCTAAAATAGATTTCCTCTTATAATACAAGTAGTGTTATAAGTTTTCAAATGCTTAATTTTATTTTTACTATACAGCTACAATTCATGCAATACGCATATTTATGTGTAAACATTCTTCCTGAAAAACGATGTTTTGTAGGTAATCCATTCATTATTTGCATACATTTTACATAAATCACCGCACAAAACAGAAAGATTAATATTTTAATTACTTTGTTTTCACATTGAACCAGCTGCACAAATTCAATGTAACTATTAATGGTGGCAGCCAAGCAAACAGAATTTCTTATGCCTAAATAGATAAAATTTATGTGCACCAAAGAATTGAAAAAATCTGATAAAACTTACTTGCTACTCCTGATGCAAGTCCATAAAGCAGTCCTCCCCCATCCGACTGCTGAGGGAAAACATGGGCCCCTGGAGGAGGTGGCTTTTCTTGTCTGATAAAGTTATATAATAAGGTCTTCACAAGTTTGCTGGTGTATGGAAGACTATACAAAAAGGAAAAAAAAATCAAACTCATATTTATGGGAGTCATCTAATTCTGAATAACAATACAGAAATAATTCTGCCATTAACACTATCTGTTAATACAAAAGGGCTATTGGCACAACTCACAGAAATTGAGCACTGCACACAACAGTGAAGACCATGGGCTTTGAGAGCAATTTTGAGGCTTAATCCTTGCTTTTCCTCTTATCACATCATAAGATATTGATCAAATTACTTAAATACTTTTTTTCTGCAGTGGGGAGAAACAAGGTCTGGTAGAGACAAGGTCTCACTATGTTGCCCAGGCTGGTCTCAAACTCCTAAACTCAAGCGATCCTCCCGCTTCAGCCTCCCAAAGTGCTGAGATTACAGGCGTGAGCCACCGTGCCCAGCCCACTTGAACTCTTGAACTCCAGTTACTTTATCTACATTCGGTATAACACTGTGAGCTATTATAAATTTAGTGCATAACACATTATCTGGCAATTGAAGGGAAGTAGTAATAAAGAATCAGTAGAAAAAAGCAAGAATTTAAAAATAACAATAGGACTACACTTTTTAAGTATGAAATTATTCAATTATTCAATTGGTATTAAACTAATTCCTGCAATATAGAGTAAACTTTTTAACAGATTCTTTAATGTACTATTGAGCTTTTTAAATATGGTTTCCAAGATGAACCCCAAAAATAAGTAAAGAACATATTACGGTTTAAATATGTGGCACCATAATGATACTATAAAAACCTTACTTAGAAAATAAGAACACTAACACCCTCTATGTCTATTTTTAAAAAGCAACTTGAATACTCTGGCACTATAAGGGATGAAGTTCACAATCTTGTTTCAGCAAAGATGCACACAGTCCCACGATGCCAGCACTACTTCAAACCACGGTCATTCTGAGTGTCATTCTGAGTGTCTCTGTCAGAGAGGGTTCCAATGCAAACCTCTGACTCCAAAGCCCAGATCCTTTCCCTCAGTGATTTTCAAATATGTTCAAAGAACATACATGCCACAGGAATAATCAGGGTAGCAAAAAGAATATGAAGAAGACAAAGCTCCCCACTATCTGAGAACTTTCCTCAAAGGTACTTTATTTGGATTTGTTTTACATTTTTAAAGTTTTGTGAAGATTATGTTAATAAAAGGTCAGGTATGTGCATATGTGTTGGTCATTTGCATCCACACCCTCTAGGAGATCGTAAGCTTCTGCTCAAGAGCATAGCCCCACAGTCTAACATGCCTGGCACATGGATAGCACACAGCAAATATTTGCAGGCTCAAAGAAGTAGGAATAGTCAGCGAAGAGGCTGCTGGAGAAGTCCAAAGAGAGTAAGGGGGCATAGATCACAGGTGTTTCAAAGGGACTGCTGAGAAGAGGAAGATACAAAAATAATCTGAATAACAAATATGACTTGACTGCTTAAACATAGACAGAATGAAGGAGATGGAAGAAAAAGATGATTTCAAAGTTTCAATTCTACGAAGCAACCACTGGAGAAGGTAATGAAGCTACGGGACAGGAAGAACAGGGAGGATGGGTAGATGGCACAGGAAAGTAGAATGCGGTTCCCTATGCACTGGGTTTAAAGAGACAATAGAACAACTAGAGGAAATACCTGGTTGGAGATATGGGACGATACTCAGGTAAAAGGACAAGACTAGAAATATAGATTTATACAATGAAAAAACTAGACATACTTAAAGTAGAAACATACCATGGACCTCGCATCAAATACTTGTGGCTGATGCTCTGTCGCAAAACTTCTTTGTGGAAGAGTTGGCAGGAAAGGAAAACAACCATTGTTGATATAGCTTCTACTGATATTTCATATGTAATATCTCTAAAATGGAAGAAAAACAGAGTAACAGTCACTTTGGAAGATTAAGACACTATTCTTTTCTAAATGAACTATACATTTAAAAACTCAAATCTAAATATTCAGTATTTTCAGGTTACTGAAAAATGTTAATACGTTTAATACAAAAATTAAGTCAAGCAAAAATATTAAACTCCTTCCCTGTCATTAGCTGGTGTATTTGGGTTAGTTATCCCTTTATTTCCCTATTTTCCAGTTTCCATCTCCTATTAAATGACAAGTCTATTTATGTATAATGGAAATAGTTACTAGCAGTGTTCTGTTTTGAAGATTCACTCTAGACATCTATGTTCATTTCTGTTTAGTGATAATACAGAGACAAATACTCAGATTGTAAAGCTGAAGAGAAGGTACAGTGTAGGGAAGAAAACAATGCCTTTTCATGTTGATGATCACTTTACAATCAGAACAATAATACACCCTAGATCTTGTGTCTCTAGTGCCTACCTTTCTCAAGGTCAACTTTGCATGTTCAGCAAAATATTAACAGTAAACAAGTTATTCCTGTTTTATTAAGCATATTTTGATTATGAAGGGTTACTCTGTCCTCTCAAGATCATAAACCCCTTTGGGAAACAAGTCTTAGATCAAATAAAAAGAAAAAGATTCAGCTGAACAGAAAGCACACAGAGGAATAAAGGCATCCAGAAATTTCCAGTTACTGCAAAAGTTTAAACAGGATTATAATGGGGAACATGTTAAGACCAAGGAAGTAGAAACCTCAACAACGCAGTAAAAAGAGCAATAGCACCAAAAGAATACTAAAATATTTTTATAAAAATGAAATAATTATGAAAAACAAAGAAAAATACTTAACACCTACTTAAATGAAAGCTCATTAAACAAATTAATGATGACTTGATTCTAGAACTAGAAAAATTTAAATTCTACCAGATATCTTAAGGAGTTATTACTGATAGAAATATGTTTAAAAGGCCAGGCTCAGTGGCTCACGCCTGTAATCCCAGCACTTTGGGAGGCCAAAGCGGGTGGATCACCTGAGGTCAGGAGTTTGAGACCAGCCTGGCCAACATGGTAAAACCCCATCTCTGCTAAAAATACAAAAAATTAGCTGGGCATGGTGGCGGGCACCTGTAATGCCAGCTACTAGGGAGGCTGAGGCAGGAGAATGGCTTGAACCTGGGAGGCGGAAGTTGCAGTGAGCCAAGATCGTGCCATTGCACTCCAGCCTTGGCGATAAGAGCGAAACTCCATCTCAAAAACAAAAAATAAAGAAAGAAAAAGAAATATATTTAAAAATGACATATAAAAAAAGAAAAACACAAGAGACCCACGCAATTAGCCTTATTACGTGGTTGAATAAAGCTCAGCTCTACTCAGAAATCTGACTTTTAAAGTATTGTAGAACAATCTCTTTCCTGAAATTTCCATAATCACTGTTGTAAAAATTAACCTGTAAAAAGCAATTCTTGGGCATAGTGGCACATGCCTGTAATCCCAGCTACTCAGGAGGCTGAGGCACTAGAACCCAGAAGGTGGAGGTTGCAGTGAGCTGAGATTACACCACTGCACTCCAGCCTGGGCAACAGAGTGAGACTCTTGTCTCAAAAAATAAAAATAAAAAATTTAAAAAATAAAATAAAGCAATTCTTGTATTTGTTCTTCTTTCATGAATTGAATGAAAGACAAACTTGATGTTTCATGTCATGTTATGATTTACTAATGATGATTTGATTTGGGTGCTCAGAACCCCCAAAAATTTTGTATCACAATAATCATTCATTCAAAACATAGCCCACGCCTGTCTGGAATCCATACACAATAGTCTCCTGGCTAGGCTTTTCACCTGGGTCAGAGTTTAAAGCCAAATCCTGACATAACAAATACTTGGCTGTGAGTTAGAGCCTATTTAGATAGGCAGATGGATGACTATGTCCAATACATTTGCAAACGTTTTCTGTCTTTTTTTTTTTTCTTTTTGGAGACAGGGTCTGTGTCTGTCACCTAGGCTGACACCTAGTGGCGCGATCTTGGCTCACTGCAACCTCCACCTCCCAGGCTCAAGTGATCCTCCTGCCTTAGCCTCTCAAGTAGCTGGGACTACAGGCAGACGCCATCATGCCCAGCTAATTTTTGTCTTTTTTACAAAGAGGGGGTTTTACCATGTTGCCCAGGCTGATCTGGAACTCCTGTGCTCAAGTGATCTGCCTGCCTGGGGCTCCCAAACTGCTGGGATTACAGGCATGAGCCATCGTGCCAGACTGCAAATGTATTTTGTCATTGCATCAATAATAAAGAATCAGCTGTGGTGGTTTACAATTTAACATCTTACTGTATGCCTCAGATCTAGAAACAAATTGTTTTACTAAATTGTTTTAGTTTTGCTTAAACCAAAATCTATGACTATTAATAATTACTAGGTCTAATAACCTTAGGGAAAGAATACGTATTTAGAAAAAAGTGTTCTTCTCCTTCAAAATTAATTGGGCCAAACACAATCAGAAGTGAGAGAACAAAAAAAGTGTTAACCTTGGATCATCCTCTCTTACCGTGGAATCCTATAAATGTAGAAGAATGAAGAGTAGAGGGTTTGATGCTGGGAGGTAAGGAAAGCTTCCAGCACATAAGAATACTGAAGCAATACAACATGACAATAAGAGTCACTGCAAGCTAAAAACCCATTTCCCCAAATTCCTAAACAGAACCATGTGTGTCTTCCGTAGGCCCAGAGAAACAAATTATATCAAATTGCTTATCACACAGTATTTTTGCTCATATGATGTTCAACAAATATTGATTAAAAATTTATTCTTACTATCTCTAGACAGGCATTATGCTACATATTGGGGACATATCCATCAACAAATAGACAAGGCTCCTGCCTTTATGAAGCTTACAATTTAGTGGAAAAAAGAAAAATCAAATAATAATCACTCCAAAAAGGACTATAAAGGAAAAAAACAAGTAATAACAGGAGAGGATTACAGGACACTCTGATAGTAACTATGGGATCAAAAGAAAGCGTCTCTTAAAAAGTGGCATTTAAAACCTGGAGTATGAGTGGCAATTACTTACAAATCTTTCTTACTATAATATATGAGACTCTAGCTAGAGAACCTTTCATTTTTGCTGTTGTTTATATTCTCAACTCTAGTATATAATAGGTACTCAATGGATAAATAAATGGAAAGATGGAGGGATCTTTACTGTTTTCATTTTGACTGGAAACTTATTGAATACCTTCCTTAATAGATCCATCAGCAAAGCGTACAAGGCATATATAACTTAGGATAGCAAAGAGGAAGAAGAATGCTGAGGTCAGGTAATATGTATTCATAAGCACAAATGGAATACTCATTGCAACAAAAATGTAAAGGGAATTTCATGAAAGAAGGATCCAGAATGTTGTTGACTGGCTTACAGCTGTCCTCTGTTGATTTTGCCTGACCAACATCCACCTCCTGTTCTTCTGGCAAAAGCAGCCCTTTTGTCCTCCTGAGAACCTCCCTCCCCTCCATACATGTGGATTGGATGGGGCACGACTCTGCCTTCTGGTGATCCACGTTTGGCCAATAAAAATGGTCTTTGTCAAAATCCTTCCCAGCACTTCTGGAACTATCAGAAAAGAGGCACTCTCTCCTTCTGAGATTGTGAGTGCTAAGAACTATGTATGGATAGAGCTGCTACTGGTTTTCTCTGTCGATGGATCCTGCCTGAGAACATAGCCAATCACAGCAGTGACAAGAGATTGAGAACATCACAGCAGTGACAAGAGATTGAGGGGGAAGGAGCAAAAAGGAGAGAAGAAAGAGAGGAGTCCTAGTGAAGAGTCAGCGGAATAATCAAACATAGAAAAAGAAATTACTATGAAATCCGGCAAATCCCATGAAAGAATATGAACTATCTGTATTAGGAACACAGAGATAACAGCAACCAATTCTGCCTGGGTCAGAAGGGAAATTCTTCACAAAGATGATGATATTTGAGCAGACGAAGAACAAGAAGAAGGGGAAGGGCATTAAAGTGAAGAAACCATACAAAGGCAGCCACAAAAAGGTCTGGTAGTTTTGAAGGAAAATAAGAAATTCAATATCGATCAAACAGATTAAAAGAAGGTGGGGGAAAGGGGTGGGAGCAAAGGGACTCGAACTGGGAGTTGAGAAATTAATAAAATGGAAAAAGTATGTATATATTGGAGAAGTTAGATTAAAACAGTTATTAAAAAATCAAGAAACTATTCAAATAAATTTAAAAATCCAACTAGGCCAGATACAAGATCAACTTTGAAAGATAAATAGCATTTCTCCTTAGCAGCACTAACCAACAATAGTAGGTTATCAAAAACAAAACAGCATTTTGCAAGACTGCCAGAATAACTAAAATGTTTGGAATAAAATGTTTTGGTCCTTCATAGGACATCTATGAAGAAAAACATTTAAAAAGGACACAGTGGATGATCTGAACAGAATGACAATACTATGAAGATAATAATTCTACCCAGATTAATACAGAAAGTCAACGAATCACAACCAAAATTCTCACTCGACTTTTTTGAGGAACTGCATAAATTGACTCACTTTTATGAAATAATAAACAAATAGCCAAGTCAACCTTGACAATAAAGAATGAAGAGGGGCACTTTCCCTACTGGATATCAAGCCACTCTATACAGCTGTAGTAAGAAAAACAGCATGGTATTTGTATAAAAAGTAAACAAACCAAAGGACCCCAATTGATAATTCAAAGACAGACCTGTGTATATATGGAAATAATATACAATAAAGATTACGATTACTCCACAAATCAATGAAGAAAAACACATTGTACAGAAGATGGTAATGGGAAACACCTCTTTTATTTCATAATGACAGATCCCTACACCTTACAACATACTCAAGACCTACTACAGAAGACTTAATGACTTAGATGTGAATAAAACTAAAGTTGATAGAAGGAAGAGTACAATAAGTTTGTAACATAAGCACAAGAAAGGACTTATTAAATAAAAGCCTAAGAACACAAACCACAAAGGCAAAAATTACACATTAAATTACATCAGAATTAAAGATTACTGCTCAGCAAATGAATCCCTGGACAAAGTTAACAGGCAGATAATAGACTGAAAGAAGAACACGAAACTAATATCAAGGCTATTACAAATAACTCCTGCCAACAACCAATAAAAAGGCAGGAACTCTGCTAGAAAAAAAAAATCAAAAGATATAAACAGGCAATCTGAAACAAGGTGATATGCCCCTATGCCCTAGAGAATGTAATGTGTTGCCAGGCATGTGGTGATATAAAAACCCTCATGCTCTGCTGATGGGAATACTAACCAGCATAGTCAGTTTTAGAGAACCTATGTCCATTCACACAGACACACAGACACACACGCGTGCATGCGCACGTGCCAAAGAAAAATCCACAGAGATATGTCTGAGAAATATAGTAGGCATCCTCTAAAATGACCCCAATCATGCCTGCTTCCTGCTATTCATGCCCTTGTGTAATCCCCTCCCCTCACAGAATACAACAAAAGTGAGAGTTATGTCACTTTTGAGAGATCAGCTTACAACATAACTACGATGTGTGTTGAGTAGCCCCTCTTGCTCTTCCATTTGCCGGCCAGTTGCCTTGCTGTAGGCTAACATACTGAGAGGTCTACACGGCAAAGAACTAAGGGAGGCCTCCAATCAACAGCCAGTGAGGAACTGAGGTCCTCAGTCCAACCCTTGAGGAGCTGACTCTTGCCAATAGCCAAGAGACCTAGGAAGCAAGGCGTCCCCCAGCTGAGGCTTCAAGTGAGACCAGAGCCCCAGCTTGACTACAACTTCATGTGACACCTTGAGTCAGAGTCTTAAAGCTACGGTATACTCAGATCTCTGACCCTAAAAAACTATGTAATAATATTTGTTGTTCTAAACAGCTAAGTTTTGGGTAATTTTTATGCAGCAATAGATGAACAACACGAAACATCCATTATTTGTGGGCATGCAAAGTTGGAGGCAATCCGGGTATAACCGATGAATTAAATAAGTAAAATGAGGCGGAGCCACACATGGAGCAGGTTTTGGGTTTTTTTGGGGTTTTTTGTTTGTTTGTTTGTTTGTTTGTTTTTGAGACAGAGTCTCGCTCTGTCGCCCAGGCTGGAGTGCAGTGGCGCCATCTCGGCTCACTGCAAGCTCCGCCTCCTGGATTCACGCCGTTCTCCTGCCTCAGCCTCTCGAGTAGCTGTGAACTACAGGCACCCGCCACCACGCCCAGCTAATTTTTCTGTATTTTTAGTAGAGACGGGGTTTCACTGTGTTAGCCAGGATGGTCTCGATCTCCTGATCTCGTGATCCGCCCGCCTCGGCCTACCAAAGTGCTGGGATTACAAGCGTGAGCCACTGCACCCGGCCCACGTGGAGAAGTTTTAAAAGCCACAGACTAAATGTTCACTTTGCATCACAAGTAACTCTTAAAAACAGTTTTGAGAGGAAAAAAGTAAAAAAAAACAGAATGAGTTCTATAACACAATTCTATTTACATACATTAAAAATACATGTACACATACGAATAACATTTTGTACCTGAACATACATATGTAGAAGTAAACATATTAAACACATCAGAATGGCTATCTATGGGAAAGAAAAGGAAATAGGGAATGGAGATAAAAGAGAATAAATGAATGGATGAATACTAAATGGAGGAAAGGACAGGCCTTACAGGAGCTGATGATAATAGTGCTAAAGAATGTGACACATAGCCAAATTCAACCCTATGTCTGATGAGTCTAAAACCAGGGCTTGTGGGATGAAAGGACACATAAGAGGTTGGGGAACATACTGATGTGAGAAAATGTTTAAACTAATCCAGGAAACAAAAGACATGTGCAATAAATCATTTGGGGGGACATAATGAGGACATCCACTAAAACAGTGACAACATGAATGAAAAAGCAATCAGATTTGAATAACATTTAATAAAATAAAACTACTACCACTCAGTGACAGATCAGACACTTAAAATGGGTAAGAAAAACAGATTAATCAAGAAACACTAAGCTTTCTAAATGTAGCACCCAGAGATGGTGATGCCATTAACTAAATCAAGGACACAGGAAATGGAAAATTGCCATATATACAGTCAACACTCATTATTCACAGATTCTGTATTTGTAAAATCACCTATTCACTAAAATTTATTTGTAACCCCCAAATCACTATTGCAGCACTTCTGCTAACTGAACTAATCTACATTAATTTTCTAACTTGCACCAAAAAAATCCTAGACCAAATTTCATGACAAAAAATAGAAAGTAAAAAATTCCAAATGAATTCACAGATAAATTATACTATGACAAAGATGATAAAGGCTGGATGTGGTGGCTCATGCCTGTAATCCCAGCACTTTGGGAGGCCGAGGCGGGTGGATCACGAGGTCAGGAGATCGAGACCATCCTGGCTAACACGGTGAAACCCCGTGAAACTACTAAAAATACAAAAAATTAGCCGGGCATGGTGGCAGGCACCTGTAGTCCCAGCTACTCAGGAAGCTGAGGCAGGGGAATCGCTTGAACCTGGGAGGTGGAGGTTGCAGTAAGCTGAGATCGCACCACTGCATTCTAGCCTGGGCTACAGAGTGAGACTCCATCGCAAAAAAAAAAAAAAAAAAAAAAAAAATGATAAAATGATAAAATAAAAAGCAAGGTCTGTATTTCCTTTGTGTCACTGAGGGTGGATGTGGATGGGGTATTCATGAAAGAAGAGTGGCCATGAGTTGATAGTTACTGAAGCTGAGTGACAAGCACATGGAGTTTCATTCTTCTCTCTATATTTATATGCTTGAAATTTTCCATAAATTCAAAAATATAAATTAAAAAATTGACTATTTATGAAGTGACTGTAGACCATGAGTTTGGGGAAGTCAGGAGCCTTTCTTATTCCTAGCTCCTCCCACAGTTCCCAGAAAATAGTAGGTATTTAACAAATATTAGAATGAATGAACCATTGAAAATACTGTACTTAAATCTAATTTGCTAAAGGTGTCTGCTTTGAGAAGCTGAATATGTTCTATCAGCACTGTATTAGTTTTACATTGCTGCCATTAACAAATCATCACAAATGTAGCAGCTTTAAACAGCACCATTTGTTATCATACAGTCCTGGGAGTCAGAAGTCCAGTACAGGTCTCACGAGCCTAAAATCCAGGTGTCGGCAAGCTGCATTCCATTCTGGAGGCTCTAAAGAAGAATTCATTTCCTGTTCATTTGGGTTTTTGGCAGGACTCATTTCCTCGTGGTTGTAGGACCCAGGTCCCTGTTTTCTTGCTGGGTGTAAACTGAGGGCAATTCTTGGCTTCTAGGGGTCACCACATCCCTTGGCCCATGGATCTCTTGTTCCATCTTCGAAGGAAGCAAGGACTTTGAGTGACTCCTTATATCACATCTCTCTGACCCACTCTGCTTTGCTCATTTAAGGACTCATGTGATTAGACTGGGCCCGACAGGATAATGAATGACAGTCTCTCCATTAAAAGGTCTTTAACTTTAAACACATCTACAACATCACTTTTGACATATAAGTTATGTTACTCACAGGTTCCAGGGATTAGAGCATGTACATCTTTGGGGTTTGGAATGGCATTAGTCTGCCTATCACTAGCACTCAGTAAGAATCAGATTATGTGCTAATTTCAGTAAGAACCAAAAATTTGCCTACCAGCCAGCATAAAAATATTACTCATTGTTATACTATCTGCCAGATTAGGAGGGGAGGTGAGGATAATAAAAATATAGTCATGGGTCCCATAACAGTATGTCAGTCAACAATGGACCACATATATGATAATGCTTCCATATTATAATGCCATATTTTAATGTACCCTTTCTATGTTTAGATATGTGTAGATACATACTTACACTGTGTTACAACTGCCTATAGTATTTAGTGCAGTAACATGCTATACAGGTTTGTAGCCTAGGAGCAACAGGTTATACTATTCAGGGTAGGTGTGTAGCAGGCTATAACATCTAGGTTTATGTAAGTACACTCTATGATGTTTGCACAATGATGAAATCACCCAACAATGTATTTCTCACAATATCCCCATCATTAAGCAATGCATAACTGTATACACAATGAAGCACAGCTTCAAATGGTAGCAAAGGTATAAATATTAAAAATAGCGAGAACAGAATGATTTTGTGGGGAGAAGGTGGGCAAAGATGTCAAGAACCTAATTTCCAATTTTTGTTGTCTGAGGATAGTTCTTATAACCACAAAGCAAGGGAAAATTTAAATACACAGGGCAAAAATATTCAGACAAGGATAATCACCATCCCACAGCTGCCCACCCCACTAAGAATAAAACTCGGAGTCCTTAACTCAGCCTCTAAGACCCTGTATGACTTCTGCATCCATACTAACTTATCTTCTACCACATACCCTCCCCATCCTTGCTCATTCTGCTCAGCTCTACTGGCTTGCTTAGTGTCCTTGGATATACCAAGCATGTGACCGCCTCAAGGCCTTGAAGCTGCTGTTCCCTCTGTTAGAATACTCTCCCATCAAACAGTAACAGGACTCTGTCTTTGACTTTATTATAAGGTCCACTTCACAAGAAGCCCTCCCTTATGATCTTGGCTAAAATACCATCACATTACTATTTCTTTCATTGCCCTTATCACATCCTAACATTACATATTAATGTGTTTATTGTCTGTCCTATCCCACTCGCAACTAGAATTTATATCTTATTCAGTATTGTATCCCTAGCACCTAAAACAAGGACTGACAACCAGTGAATACTCACATATTTTTGAATAGTCTCTTCAACTATGCTCACAGGCACAGTGAGAAATTAATACTATTTTACCAAAACCAAGAAAAATACATCCATTCGTGTACAAATTTTAAATGATGAAAAATATCTGAAACTCCCAGCTTCTAAACACTTTTTTATGATTTAACACTCTGCAGAAAAATTTATGCCTGGGCATACTGGTTCATGCCTGTAATCCCAGCACATTAGGAGACTGAGGCAGGAGGATCACTTGAGGCCAGGAGTTCAGGACAGGCTTGGGCAACATACAAGACCCCACCTCTACACCACATTAAAAAAAAAAAAAAAATCACTAGACTCCTGGAGCCACAGTAACAGAACTAGTAGTAACAACAAAAATAATTACTCAACATTCATTTGAAACAAGACTTACTCAAAGTAGCCCATGCCTTCATTTAATCCATTTTCTGTAATAAATGGTATTGAAGATGACTGATGTTTTTCAAAAGTCAGTTTAAAAATAAGGAACCCAAATTTGGGTTCTACATATCTGGGGAAAAAATGATGTAAACAGAAAAACCCTGGAACAGCCATTTAAGAAATACATTTTAAAGAAACATGTGGGCAAAATGCAACTATCCATCAACTACTGCTTCCTCGTTACCACGTTCCCTCACATCTCCTAAGTCTCTGTGATGGCTTCAACTTCCCCTTCTGCCTCCAAACTGCTTGGCTAACTCATATTCATAACTCAAGACTTTGGACTTTGTTATTCTTGATTGTTTACAAAATAGCCTGTAACTACAAGCCAAAGAACAAGAGATGTCACATGTCAACACACCACTTAATACGAATAAAAATACAAGATTTAGAGAAAACAAGAATTAATGCCTTAAAAAAAATCTCCTTTTGATCTGATGATGATTGAGTCTGCAGTTATCTCTCCCGTGAGAAATCTATCAGGAAGAAGAGTAGACATTTCTTATTTTTAAATCATTTTTATGTAAGTTAGTAATAGGACTTCATTAGTAACATTCTAAAAGGACATTAATACATATAGTAGGACAACTGTATAACCTTTTGGGGAAAAAAAAAAAGACCTGAATCCATACCACAGACTCTATACAAAAATAAATCCCAAATATATCAAAGGTTTAAATCTAAAAAGAAATGGAAGAATTCCTTTATAACATGCTTTAGTGAAGGTCTTTCCAATCATTCATTGGGTATCTACTATAAGACAAACTTCACAGAGCTTAAATCTAGAGGGGCAGATAAATAAATATGTTATACATTAAATTAAAAGATAAGTGCTATGAAAAAAGTAAGGGTATAAAGGTAGGACCAAGAGTGCCAGGTTAGGGTAGAAGGTTAAGTAACAGGCTAAGCTGCTGTGACAAAGAGGTCTAAAGTTCAAGTATTTAAAACAGGATCAAAGTTAATTTCTCTGCCATATCATAATCCAGAAAATAATCCAGATCAGGTAGGCTCCACTTGATAAGAATACACAAGGCCCATGCTGGGAGGGAAGCTCTACTACCCTTTGCATGTGCTTCAAAGTTTGTGCCAGTTGTTATAATTTCCCACCAAAGAGAAGGGGGAAAAAATGCACTCCAAGGCAAGTCATTTCTTTTTTTTTAATGTAAAAGCATATATCTCTTCTTCTGGTACATCCATATCTAGCTGCAGGGAATCCTGATAAATGGCATCTCTACCTGGACAGCCGTTGTCCAGCTAAACTCTAAATAAAGAAGATAAATTTGGGGGACTACTGACAACCTATCACAGGTGTGTTACAATTTTAAATAAGAAGACCTCAACAAGGACTTGACATTTAAGCAAAGACTTGAAAGAAGCAAGGTGGCAAGGGAAGTGTCTTCCAAGTAGAGGGCCCAGCACACGCAGTCCCTAAGGTAGGAATACACCTAGTACCACATGCAGTCCCTAAGGTAGGAATACACCTAGTACCTTTAAGGAACAACAAAGAGGCCAGTAGGGCTAGAATAGAATCTGCAAGAAGAAGAGTAGTAAGAGATGAGGTTTGAAAAGGTAAAACTAAATCAGCTTATAGATCCTTAAGCCTAAAAGCTATAAAAGATGGATAAATTTAAATTATTCAAAATTGTTAAAAAGTCATCATGATAAAAACAAAAATATCCTATAAGCAAGTAAGTCAACAGGCAAACTGAAAAAAATATTTACATTCTAACACAGAAAGGGTTTTAGAAAGATACAACAGAGGCGGCAATACAACCTGAGCAAAGGATATGAGCAAAAACAAATTAACAATGTCCATCAATAAGGGCATGATTAAATATATTTTGACACTGATCTACAACAGAACATTATATAGCTTTTGAAGAAGAGTGAGAAAGGCTGTGGAGAAACTGAAACCCTCTTTCATGGCTGGCAGGAAGGTAAAGTGGTGAAACTGCTGTGGAAAAGTTTGGCAGTTAACTCAAAAAGTTAAATACAGAGTTACCATATCACTTAGCAATTCCATTCCTAGATGCATAGCCAGAAGAACTGAAAACGTTTCTACACAAAATCTTGTACATTGATGCTCAAAGCAGCATTACTCATAATGGCCAAAAAGTAAAAATAAACCCAATGCATATCAACTGGTGAATAAGCAAAATGTGGTATATACAGACAATGGGATACTTTTCAGCATAAAAAAGAATGAAATACTGGTACATATTATATAACATGAATGAACTCTGAACACATTATACAAAGTAAATGCCAGATACAAAAGCCATATATTGTATGATTTCACTTGCATAAAATATCCAGAATAGGGAAATGCATAGACAGAAGGCAGATGAGTGGTTACTAGGGGCAGAAGAGAGGGATAAATGAGGCCTGAAGTAGTCAGGCCCATTAGCAAATGGGTGCACAGTTTCTCTTTGGATAATGAAAATGTTCTAGAATTAGATAGTGGTGTTGGTTTCACAACTTTGTGAACATACTGCAAACCACTGAACTGTATATTTTTAAAGGGTGAAAATTTTAGTATTTAAAATATACCTCAATGAAGTTGTTATTTAAAAAATAAAAATGAGAAAGTTCTATATAGTGTACAACAACTGCCAGGATAGAATGTTAACTAGAAAAAGAATAAAGTTCAAAACAATATGTAGAATTTCCTGCCTTTTATGTGGAAGCAAGGTGAAATAAGAATCTATATTCATAACTGAATATACAGATGCTCTTTGACTAATAATGGAGTTATGTCCCAATAAATCTACTGTAAGTTGAAAGTATCAAAAGCCAAAAATGCATTTAAATACCCTAACCTATTATATTATAACTTAGCTTAGCTTACCTTAAACATGCATGAATACTTAAATAAGCCTACAGTTGGGCAAAGTCATCTAACACAAAGCCTACTTTATAATAAAGTGTTGAATATTTCATGTAATTTATTGAACACTGTACTGAAAGTGAAAAATAAAATAGTTGTATAGGTACTTGAAGTACAGTTTCTACTGAATGCCTATCGCTTTCACATAATCGTAAATTCAAAAAATCATAAGTCAAATTATCATTAAGTTGTAGGTCATCCCTATATTTGTGAAAAATTATAAGGGCAAGTAAGAAACTAAGAATAGCAGTTAACTATGGAGGCCAATGGAAGGACTAGGGAGATGGGAGACAAGGATGAGAGGGAGATTGTTCATGCATACTTTTATGTGTTGGATTTTTGAATAATATAAATGCATCATCTATATAAAAATTAAGTTAATAACTAAAAACAGAAGACTGCCATAAATATTAAAAACTGAACTTCTATTCATTAAAATATAACATATTGAAATAAAAGCAAAGAAAAAAACGAAGTTACCCTAATCACAAGCAGTATATGCTGCAGGAGTCGCCGATTCGAAATGAAGAAAGTCAGGGCCTGCTTCTAAGCATCTATTAACTCGCTCTGTTAACCTCAACAAATAACTTCTCTGCGTCTCAGTTTTCTTATTTGTAAATAAGTACACTGTGCAAGAGGACCTCTAATGGCATTTCCTCCCGTAACTTTCTATAATGCTCTTAAAAAGGAATTCAAAAGCAATGTTACATTTCTGTGAAGACAAAATTAAAAATATATTAATTTGGCTATCTTAAGTGCCAAATAATCAGGAAAAAGAGCCAGAGAGGCCAATACTTGAAAGAAACCAAAATTCTACCATGCTGAGTGTGGTGGTTTTTAGAAGATGAAAAATGTTTTAATTCAACAGATCTTTCTTGTTTTAATGTCAGAAGATTTTCATTACACAATCACCAAAACAAAGTCAACCTTAAAAAGCCAAAATACTGCTTTGGCTGCCATATTATCCCAAGAACTTTCCACCATCTGCTCTGGAAATGTCCTAGAACAAACCACTGCTGGAGCAAGTTATTAATTTCATGTGAAGAAAAAGAGACAGGCGCCATGACCCTGCACTGCACTGCTAGGGCACAGTGGAACACTTGGATAAAGACAAAAGACTTCATGAAATGGGTGTTAGTGTTGGCTAAGAGCAGTCAACGAATACAGAGGAAAAAAACATCCTCCTTTTACTTACTATTGGATAAGAAACCTGATGGTACTGTAAATGGAACATAAGTTTAATAAAAACAACTGACAAGTTCAAAGGATTGAGACCAAAATTTAGAAATATCAATGCATGCCAACATGGAGATTCTAGGAGTCAAATATGGGGAAAGACTAAAAAATAATATGCTATAGTACAGATATTATCAACAAAAGTATGTTAGTATAATGGCCAGTTTTAAAAATTAACAAATCAAAGACATGGTAATACTCCTCATTTATAAAAGTCTTAACACTAGAAGAAACAGTGCTTGGCATTTGGGATTCAAGAAATGTGGATTTTAGTCTCAGAACTGCCACTCAGTACCGTTATCGACCACATTACCTATCAACTTCATCATATATAAACTAAAGGGATGGATCACACAAATTAAAATATCCATTACTTTTTTTATGATTTATAAAAAAAAAAAAATGGGCCGAGTGCGGTGGCTCACGCCTGTAATCCCAGCACTTTGGGAGGCCAAGGCGAGTGGATTACCTGAGGTCAAGACATAGAGGCCATCCTGGCCAACATGGTGAAACCCCGTCTCTACTAAAAATACAAAAATTAGCTGGGCATGGTGGTGCACACCTGTAATCCCAGCTACTCGGGAGGCTGAGGCAGGAGAATCACTCGAACCCGGGAGGTGGAGATTGCAGTGAGCCATGATCGCGCCATTGCACTCCAGCCGGGTAACAGAGTGAGACTCCTCACCAAAAAAAAAAAAAAACCACACCAGATGCAGTGGCTCACGCCTATAATCTCAGCACTTTGGGAGGCCGAAGTGGGCAGATGACTTGAGCACAGCAGTTCAAGACCAGGCTGGCCAACATGGTGAAAACCCGTCTCTACTAAAAATATAAAAACTAGCCGAGCATGGTGGTGGGCGCCTGTAATCCCAGCTACTGGTGAGGCTGAGGCATGAGAATCGCTTGAACCTGGGAGGCGGAGGTTGCAGTGAGCCAAGATCGTGCCAGTGCACTCCCGCCTGGGTGACAGAGTGAGACTGTCTCAAAAAACAAACAAACAAACAAAACATAAAACCATAAATATTAAAAACTGAACTTTTATTAACTTAAATACTATACTGTATATGCAAAAAATGCATCAAATATTTAAAATATAGCCATAAATTTTCTTGAAATAAATTAAAGTTCAACACAAAAAAAGTTATTAAAAATATTCTTAAAAACAAAAATTAAGATAGACTGACAGATTGAAAAGATGGACATATAATGATAAAGCAAATATTCCAAAATTGTAACAAGTATAGAATTTATGGTGGGTAAGTACATGTCCAAAGTGCAATTAGGTCAACTCAAAATGTTGCATTCATAAAACATGGAATAATCAGAGAAAAAGAACTCTCCGGAACTAAAAATAATTGTAAAATTTCATCAAATGTTAGAAATGGCTTTTAAAAATATTAAGAGATATTCAACTTCACTTACAATGAGCAAATGCACATAAGAATCACAATATAACTAGGCGCCGTGACTCAATCTGTCATCCCAAAACTTTGGGAGGCAAAGGCAGAAAGATTGCTTGAGGCCAGAAGTTTGAGACCAGCCTGGGTAACATAGCAAGACCTCATCTCTACTAAAAATTTTAAAAATTAGCTGGGCATGGTGGCACACACCTGTAGTCCCAGCTACTAGGGAAGTGGAGGAGGAAGGCTTGCTTGAGCCCAGGAATTCGAGCTTGCAGTGAGCCGTGATCGCACCACTGTACTCCAACCTGGGTGACAGAGACCCTGTCTCAAAAAAATTTAAAAAAGGATCACAGTATGACTTCAATCTTTAACTTACAAAAAATTTTATAATGTACAATGTTTGCAAGGCTCTACTAGAGGCTTTTGGTGGGACTATAATTGGTATAATCTTTTTAGGGAATAAATTTTTACCAAATTTATCACATCTTTATCAAAACTTAAAATGTGCACAATTAATGCCAACTCTAAAATACATATGATGGCTATATCTGTATATATGAAGTGAATTTATGTACATGAATATTCATTGGAGTGTTGTTTATAATAGTAAAAGACTGGAAATGAACTAAATTTTCATAAGATACTGATTAAATTATGATATATTCAGACAATCCATACATAGCTATAAAAAATCAAAGTTGATCTATAGCTACTGATTGGGAAAAATCAAGTTAAAAGTGATAAAAGCAACTTACAGAATAGTCTGTCTGGCTGGTATCATTTTTATTTAAAAACACTTTTGGCTGAGCGCAGTGGCTTACGTCTGTAATCCCAGCACTTTGGGAGGCCAAGGTGGGCGGATCACGAGGTCAGGAGTTTGAGACCAGCCTGGCCAACTTGGTGAAACCCCATCTCTACTAAAAATACAAAACTAAACTGAGCATGGTGGCGGGCGCCTGTAATTCCAGCTACCTGGGAGGCTGAGGCAGGAGAATCATTTAAACCTGGGAGGCGGAGGTTGCAGTGAGCCAAGATCTCACCATTGCACTCCACCCTGGGTGACAGGGTGAGACTCCATCTCAAGAAAAAAAGAAAAAAAAAGAAAAAAAAAAAAAAAACAAGAAACACTTTTTATGCGGTATGCTATGAATGGGAGAGGGAATAGAAGATTAGACAGTAAGGGTCCAAAGTGAGAAGATGACTTATTATATTCCCTTTCATACCGTCTGATTTTTTCCATGCACACATATTACCTATTAAAAATAAGTATTTTAGTACAGAAATTTTGATGAGGGAGGTCAAAAACTAAAAATCAAACAAATTTCCAACAAGTTAGAATTTTTTTAAAAGATGTAAAAAGTTGAGATAAGAGAGGTTAAATCTACAAAGTCCAGTATCTGACTTGAACATGAGTTTTAGAGAGACTTAAAAAGTTGAGATAAGAGAGGTTAAATCTACAAAGTCCAGTATCTGACTTGAACATGAGTTTTAGAGAGACTTAAAAAAAGAGGGAAGGGCCGGGTACGGTGGCTCTCGCCTGTAATCCTAGCACTTTGGGAGGCTGAAGAGGGCAGAACACTTGAGGTCAGGAGCTCAAGACCAGCCTGGCCAACATGGTGAAACCCTGGCTCTACTAAAAATATAAAAATTAGCCGGAAATCGCTTGAACCCGGGAGGTGGAGGTTGCAATGAGTCAAGATTGTGCCACTGCACTCCAGTCTGGGCAACAGAGCGAGACTCTGTCTCTAAATAAATAAACAAATAAAAATACATTTAAAAAGAGGGAAGAAATGCACAAAGAAATATTGAATAACACAAAAAACTGCCCATAGTTGAAGAACAAATATTTACTGACTAATAAGCAGTTCCATCAATGAAAAAATATCAGCCACACTAACACATCACCATATTTCAGAATTCTAAAGACAAACCCAAGATTCTAAAATCTTCCACCGAGGAAAAGAAAAAAAAAAACCATACAGAGCAATGATAATCAGATGGCATCAGAATTCCCTCTAACAACACTAATAATATTATTAGACAATAATGGAATATCTTCAAAACTCTAGGGAATACTGATTATCAGAAACTCATAACTAGCCTACCTATCATTCAAAGGTAGACATACAAGACAAATACATACAAATATAGACAAGTAAGGACTAATACTTTCTTCAAAAGCTACATGAGAATGTGCTACATGAAAACTGAGGAAATAAACCAAAAATGGCTTTAAAGAATATCAGGCAACTATGGAGGCCACCCAAGAAAATAGTGAAGAGGAATCCCAGATGACACAGCTATGTGATAGCCCTAGAAAGCAACCAGTCTAGATTGAAGCTAGAGGACTGATGGTGTCAATGAGGGTAGTCCCAAGACTACACGTAGAACTTTCAAAAATGAGGCTAAAATAATAAAAAAAGAATGAAGTACTGATCCATGCTATAACTAGAATGAACCTTGAAAACATACTAAGTAAAACAATGCAAACACAAAAGACCATATGTGATACGATACAATTTGTATGAAATGTCCAGAATAGCCAAATCCCATAGAAACACAAAGTAGGTCGGTTTTGCTAGGGGCTGAGAAATGAAGAGTGACTGCTAATGGGCACATGGCTTCTGCCTGGGGTGCTGAAAATGTTCCGGTATTAGATAATGGTGATGGTTGTACAATTTTGTGAATATACTAAAATCAATTAATTGTAGAAGTTAGAAAGCTGAATTTTGTAGCATATGAATGCTATCTCAATAAAGCTTTATTTTTAAAAGTGAAGCTAAAATAAAGGAAAAAACACAAAAAGCTAAGAAATGCCATTAAATTCCAAGAAAAACAAAAACTTACATGGGAAAGTAGATCACGCTGTACTTCTTGCCAAGTGGTTGCCAGGGACGAGGAGTTGGGATACAGACTGACTACAAGGGAAACTAGGGAACTTGAGAGGGATGTAATTGAATTGTTCTACATTATAATTTCAGTGTGTGTAACTGTATGCATTTGTCAAAACTCATAGAACTGAACAATAGAAAAGATGAATTTTGCTAAATGTAAATTATACATCAATAAACCTAACTTTTAAAATAAAATAAAACCTCCCGTGATACTGGAGTGGATTTTTGTAGTTGAAGCTGACTCTTAAGGAATCAACTATGGATTATTTAGCAAAGTTTGATGCCCAAATAACTGACAGTATCTAGTGATTTACTTTATTAAACTCTCCCTGTGCCTAAGTACATTACTGGGAGGGTCTGATTTTTTTTTAAAGCTTTTCAATACTCTTTATTGAAATACAATATATCTACTGCAAATTACAAGTACACATATTGCTTTCTCTGTAAATTCTGATACTCTGTCATCCTGACAGATTTTTGGGAGGGAGTAAAATAGGTCCAAAATGTAGAAACAAAAAAGTTTCCAAATTCCTCCCTAGTCAGGTCTTCATAGAGTAGTTTCATTAGCCGATTTAAAGTAAATTCTCAAAACAATAAATATACTCAAAGAAAATATACACATTTCCAAGTCACTTCTCCCATTTAGATTATCTATCCCCTAACTTAGCTCCAATCATGTTACAAGATTTACCTAGATGTCTTCTGATCTAGAAATTAGTAATATTTTAAAACAATTAAAATACATCGTAAAACTTTAAGAGACGGAGAGTTCTGTCTTCTCATTATTTTTATTGAACCCAACTAATCCCTGCTCTTTGGCTTCCTTTTGTGTACTTCCTACAAAGAATATACTTAAGTAAACTTGTCATCCTGGGGTAAAATAAGTAGATATTAAAGTACAGATAATACAAGTAAGAAGAGAAAAGAAAGAGAACTGAATGAAGGGTGTGGGAAGTAGTATCTTTAATTTACAAAGGGAAAGTCAAGTGTTACTGCCTATATTTGAAGGAATAAAGACATATATTACACAGAAAAACTAAAAATGATAATTTAAATATAATAGAATATAGCAAGGGAAAAGGTGCAAGTAGAAGGAGATAATCATCTGAGCAGACGTCAATAAATAATTTAATGAATCAAAAAAGTGGTATACATTTACATTAAGAACCAAGAAAATAAAACACTTGGATATAAATCTAACAAAATATGTATAAAAGCTGTATGAGCAAAACCATAAAACTTTGATGAAAGAAATCAAATAACTAAATAAATAGAAAGATATTCTATATTCATGGATAGAAAGACTCAATATTGTCAAGATTCCTCTTAATGTGATCTACAGATGCAACACAATTCAAATCACAACACCTGCAAGTTACTTGGTAGTAACTTGTAGTAACACAACAAACTGGTTCTAAAGTTATACAGAAAAGCAAAAGGCCTATAAATATCAACACAAAATTGAAACAGCAGAACAAACTAAAAGGACTGGAATTATCCTTCAAGACCTACTACAAGGCTACAGTAATCAAGACAGCATGACACTGGCAAAAGAATAAATAGATCAACAGAACAGAACTGAGCACTCAGAAACAGACCCACATATAGTTAATTGGTCTTTGACAAAGAAGCAAAGACAGTATAATGGGGAAAGGTAGTCTCTTCAACCAGATGCTGAAACAACTGGATATCCACATGCAAAAAAAAGACAGATCTAAATATGAAATGCAAAACTATAAAACTCTAAAACGATAAAATAGGAGAAAATCCAAATGACCTTGGGTATGGTGATGACTTTTTGGATACAACACCAAAGGCACAATCCATGAAAGAAATTATTGATAGGAAGATTAAAATTTTAAAATTTAAAGTTTCCTACTCTGTGAAAGACATGATCCATCAAAAAAATAACTGAGAGCAAGGGCCTCATTAAAATTAAAAATTTCTATTCTGTGAAAGACACTGTGAAGAGAATGAGAATAAATGCCACAGGCTGGGAGAAAACACTTGCAGAAGACATATCTGATAATGGATTGTTATCTAAAATATACAAAGAACTCTCAAAACTCAGCAAGAACACAACCCAATTAAAAAGTGGACCAAAGACTAACAGATATATCATCAAAAAAGATACACAGATGGCACAAGCATATGAAGAGATGCTCAACATCATATGTCATTAGGGAACTGCAAATTAAAACAATGAGATACCACTACACATCTATTCAAATGCCAAAATTTAAAACACTAACACCACCAAACGCTGACAAGGATGTGGAGCAATAGGAACTCTCATTCATTACTGGTGGGAATGGCAAAACTGGTACAGGCATTTTGGAAGACAGTTAAGCAGTTTCTTACAAAATTAAACATACTTTAACCATCATTCATTCATCTACTCTGTATGATATGACAATGATAGATACATTTCATCATGCATTTGTCTAATCCCATAGAATATAAATTTCTTACAAAATTAAACATATTTTAACCATCATCCTTTGATCTACTCTGTATGATATGACAATGATAGATACATTTCATCATGCATTTGTCTAATCCCATAGAATATAAATTTCTTACAAAATTAAACATACTTTAACCATCATCCTTTGATCTACTCTGTACATGACAATGATAGATACATTGATCAACACATTGATACATTGATAGATACAATTGATACACTGATCAATAAACTTATAGATACATTGATAGATGTATCTATCAATGTATAGATATCAATAGATATAGATATCAATAGATATGCATTGATATCTATCATAGATATCATAGATAGACATCAATGTATAGACAGATGTATCTATCAATAATTGATAGGTACATTGATAGATAGATGATACATAGATAGATGATACATTGATACACTGATAGATACAATTGACAGATACAATTGATACACTGATCAACACATTGACAGATACAATAGATATATTGATCAATATGATACACTGATAGATACATTTCATCATGCATTTGTCTAATCCCATAGAAGATAAACACCTACACCTACAGGGAACACTGAAGTAAACTATATTTGGGTGATAATCCAGTGCCAATGCAGGTTTATTAATTATAACAAATGTATTCCTCTGCTGAGGGACACTGACGGTGCAGAAGGCTATATGTGTGTGGGGGTGGCTTGACATTAATAACTGCAAATTTTAATTCTCCCAACAAACAACTAATTTTTTTTCTTTTTAATTCTGTACTTTCTGCTCAATTTTGTGGTGAACCTAAAATTACTCTCAAAACTAAATGTAAAAAAATAAATATAAAGACTTATTTTTTCAAAATAATGGTATATTATTTAGAAATATAAAAGGTTAAATGAAGGTAAAGGTTTATATAAACCACTAGAACAGGTGAGAATTTAGAAAGTTTGTCTCTCAGGAGGAAACATTTAAAAAGGGATGAGACAAATAACATTTGTTCTCATTATAAGCCTCTGTGCAATGTGATTTTGTCTCCAAACCATGTGCATACATATATGACCACTTAAAATTCAGCATCAATGACTACCAGAAAATATTCAAATGTAATATAATCTGGATTATGTCTGAAAAGAAATTACTCTGTAAAGAAGTAAGTTATAAGTCAGAAAAAATTAAAAAGAAAAAAATCAATTGTTTGTTGGGAGAATTAAAATTTGCAGTTATTAATGTCAAATCACTTTATTCCTATTTTGCTATACATGTATTAATAACAGTAAACAAAATTAACAGCAGCATTCAGTAACAATCTTGGTTTTTTACCAGGAAAAATTCTCTGAAGGCACCAGACATCAATTTTCAAGCTAAAAAGCTACTGTAAACTTAATACGTAATACTGTCTTGGTATCTGAAAATACTACAATCTTTGATTCTTTGATTCAATCGATGCCTTAAATGCCTAATTCATTCAGAAAGCTATACTGGATGTTTGCCTTGCAACACCTAAAACTTAAAATACTGACTTGCTGTAGTCACCCCCCAACCCTACCCTCACTCCTCCACCCACCTTACGGCTAGATTCAAAGAAGTATTTTAGCATCAACATGCAGGGCTGTAGAAAGGCATTTTCCCAATAGCTAGGCCCTTCGTTGCCAACCATGGGTCTCTCCTGTACCTTCACTCTCTTCCAACGACTTGGAGACTCCATAAAGAAACCATTTATGACTCTTTAGGTTCTTGAACCATCTACTCACTGTTACTACCAAATGTTTTCAGTACTCAAATTTCCACAGTAGAACATCTAACCCAGTACTATTAGTCTATGGATCCAATAAATGTGCATCTTATATAATGTTATTACATTTTTAAAATGCTATAAGCTGAATTTTATAAATAAGATTCTCAGTTTCACACTCAAATATTTCCAAAATGGATTTTAGAAAAATATTTCTAATAATTATATTCTTTTTTATATCTCAATAAACAGAGAACCCTAAAAATAATCAAATCTTTAGTCCTCTAACATTTGAGTCTTTGCTACATCAACATTGCTTCTTTATCCCTAATATTCCACAAACCCTCTGCTCAACCTAATGTGCTTGTGATTTTCCAAATACATTATTCATACCTAAGAAGTCCCTATCCAGTTCTTTTCTGCCTCTTTAATGATTTAGCCAGTGCTAATCTGTTCAACTCCAAATGACTGTGGCATCTACCAATGTTCTTCTCATCGGGGTATCTTTTTGTCTATCTACCTCTAAGCTCTTCAAGAGTCACACCTTTTTATGTTCAGGGTCTACTCCACTGTACACACATAGTATATTCACAATATGTTTTTGAGGATGACCTGAATTAAAAAGAAATTATTATACTAAGAATAATCTAGGGACTACTGAGATATAAAGCCCATCGTCCCTAAACTAAACGGCCCCAGAATACTCAGCATTTATAACTAATTAATCTACTAGTCCCTTAAACATTCTCAGGTGTTATTTCTCAGTGTTTCAGCTTCCAGTAGCCCCTTTCTACTACCAATGTCAGTAAGACACCCTGTTGTTACAATGTGCCAACTACAAATGAGCCATTACACTTGCAGTGGAATATGCCTTAGCACAATACTGTTTCCATATAGACTAGATGCTGAGAAACAAACAAAATGCTTTAAGCACAGTGAACAGGTTAGACCCTTACTAATTTACTCAGTAAAGAAATATTTGAGTCTACCATGTGCCAAGCTAACCTGAATATCATGGATGCAGCAGCAGTGAGCAAACCAAATGCTGCCACAAGAGCCCTTGTTTTCATGGAGGTTTCATTCTAGTTTTATTGGGAAAATATGAGCAAGAGAGGTAACAGGTAATATGAAGAGTAGTGAAAAGTGTTAAGACAAAAAACAGGCCAGGTGTGGTGGCTCTTGCCTGTAATCCCAGCACTTTAGGAGGCCAAGGCAGGAGGGTTGCTTGAGCCCAGAATTCAAGGCCAGCCTG
The DNA here is from genome assembly GCF_000001405.40 of Homo sapiens. NCBI lineage: Eukaryota > Metazoa > Chordata > Mammalia > Primates > Hominidae > Homo > Homo sapiens. Next base: position 49,357,959 of record NC_000018.10, read on the forward strand.
GGCAACACAGCAAGACCTCATCTCTAAAAATAATTTTAAAAATTAGCCAGGCATGGTGGCACACACCTGTGGCCCCAGATACTCAAGAGTCTGAGATGGGAGAATTGCTTGAGCCTGGGCAGTTGAGGCTATACTGAGCCATGATTGTGCCACTGCCCTCCAGGCTGGGTGACAGAGTGGGAATCCCATCTCAAAAAAATAAATAAATAAGTAAATAAATAACACATGAAAAAAGACACAGAATGAGAGGGCAGCTATTTTCAGGTGGTCAAAGCTACTCTATAGGGTAGTCAGGGTGGCCATTTCTAAAGAAACAAAACCTGAAGCAGATGAAAGCTTGAAGGTGGTCAGAACGTGAGCCATGCAAATATCTAAAGGAAGACAAACTGTAGAAGGAAAGAAGGCAAAGGCCCTAGACACAGCATGGACTGGCATGCTCCACATTAGCAAGACCACCAGTGAGGGTTAGCAGATGACATCAGATATCCCCTGTACTCGACAAGTCACAGTACACAAATAGATACACACTCCCTGAAAAAGGCAGTGAAAGCAATTAATTATGAAACTCTCATCTTTATCAATCTATACCTTACGAAAAAAACTACAAAAAGTTTTCTTAGATTAAATTATAATTGACAAATCTGCAAATCAGGGCCAGACTAAAAATTAAACAGTCCTCAATGAGTTCACAGGTTCATAAGAAAGACCACAGAAATGGATCCCAGAGAAAGAGGCTGTATTTTGGGTCTGAGGCCAATAGAAAGAGGCCTACTCTGAGCAGACCTGCCCAGAGTGGTGGCACTAGTGAGAAGGAGTGGGGCCTGTGCTTGACACTGACATCCTCATGTACAACTAACAGCCACAGATTTGCTGAAAAATGACAGCAACAAAAACAGATACAAAGACAAGGGAAAAAAATCTAATTTGCGTCCTCAAAATAACTTCCATTTCTTAACAAAACAGCATCACAAGCAGCCCCAAAATACAAGGATGGGTCTATACGGCATCACTGCTTCTGCGGCTATGGCCACACCTGACTCCACCACTCGGTTGGTTCCCACAAGTCTCATTCAGCCCTTATAGTAACACTACAAGAACCCAGACAGTGTCACAAATTCCGAGCGCTGGGCTTTTACCTCTGGCTTACCTACCCACGTTCTTTCTGTTAGAACACTCCATATTAGTGTCTTGAGGAAAATACCTTTATCTTTATTACTTTCCTGTTTACTTCACTGAGACACAGGGAAGGTATAAAAATCAAAGGCAAGGATTTGCTTTTGGCCGATTTATTTAAATTCTAGTGGGATCGATCCAATACACACTGAAAAATGTCAAGCCCGTGCATAACTTAATCTTTATTTTAAATATATAAATGCTGAGAGCTATGGAGTTAAGGAAGGACTCCTGAAAGATGAACAATTTTAATGAAGATTAGTACCTCCGTGAATTAATATTTTATCAAGAAATCCAAAGTGTCTGAGAAACAGTAGCCACTAACTACTTAAAAGTGAATCTTCATTACAAATGAACTCCTACAAAGATCACTGTAATGAACTTCTGGGAGTTTATTTCAAGTATGCCACTGATCCTATTCTCTTTATAATAAGGTATCATTTACATTTTAGTTTACAGATCTCTAAATAAATATATAGCATACACATGTATGTGTCCGTGGTAAACCCTTTGCTCTCAATATTAACAGAATGATTTTAAAAGTCTCATAAGAAACATTTACGCTAGTTTGAATTACCCTCAGTGGCCATTAAAATTCATTTCATCTTGTTATTTACCTGCTAATGCAGCACAGGATGAATTACCAATGTGAAATGTGAAACGTTTATAGCACTTCTGATGATGTTCAGGTGTGAGAGCATTCGTGGTTTGCATATATTCCTATTTCCTCTTAAATTATACACTGATCCATAAATACTGCACTACAGTTAGAGGAAATGAAACATTTAAAGAGTAGTTTGGTTTCACATGGAAACTGTTACCAAGACAAACCTTCTTGTAGGATGGAGTTCCAAGAACATTAAATCATCAGAAATTGTTTCAGCAGCTGGTTAAAGCTGAGTGTACATAATAGGAGACAACTGGCTAGCTGTGCATTTTCAGCTAATTTAAAAGGTATAAACACATTAAAACACTGAAATGTTTGATATATTACAACACAATCGGCTTGCTCCTCAAGAGTGTTTAAATGGCTGCTCTATTCATTGTGTTTGGAGCCAATTTACTATCTAAAGGTATTTACTGTTTCCATCACCCTGAATGTCACCAAAACATTTTATCAATAAAGGCAAAAAAAAAAAAAAAGCGTGTACTCATTTAAGATATATACTAAATTCCTGGTATTGTGTTATATAAAAAAAAAAAATATTTAGGGCTGAGCGTGGTGGCTCATGCCTGTAATCCCAGAACTTTGGGAGGCCGAGGCGGGCAGATCACAGGTCAGGAGTTCAAGACCAGCCTAACCAACATGGTGAAACCCTATCTCTACTAAAAATACAAAAATTAGCCGGGTGTGGTGGCGCTCGTCTGTAATCCCAGCTACTCAGGAGGCTGAGGCAGGAGAATCGCTTCAACCCAGGAGGCGGAGGTTGCAGTGAGCTGAGATCACGCCACTGCACTCTAGCCTGGGTGACAGAGTAAGATCCATCTCAAAAAAAAAAAGAAAAAAAATTGCAGGTGGTGCTACTTTTAAAATTACATCAGGAACACATGAAGCACTCCACATACCATGACAAAGAAACAGTACACAGTATATGTGTTTCCCTTCCCTGATCTGACCACATGTAAAAGAAACCTAACCACAGTGGCCTAAGCAAGATAGGTATCTATTTTTCTCATGTAAGAGGAAACCCAAAGATATGGGATCCAGGGCCAATGTAATAGTTTCATATTGTCACCAATGTCCCATGCTCCCAGGACACTAGTCTTTGCATGCAATGCTCATTAACATAGTTTCAAGACAGCCCAAGCATTGCCTCCACATTCCAGGAAGGAAGAGAAGGCAATGAGCAAAAGGCTAGAGTGGATATGCTCTGCAAGTTCATGACTTCTGCTCACATATACTTGACCCAAACTATGTCACATGGTCACATGGAACCGCCAAAGTGTCTGAAAAACTAATCTGGGCACACAGCACCACTCTAAACAATACTGGAGTTCTGTTAGAATGGAAGGGGAGAAAGGATGTCATGCAAGTGTCTGCTGCAGGAGCTCCGGTTGAATGGGAAATTGTCCCATTTCCTTCCCTAGGCAATGACTCTTCAGCTGCCTCAGCCCTACTTTCCTGGGTGCATACCACCAGGCCATATCACGACAGGGGTTGGTGGTTCTCACTTCGAAATCTATATTAAAATTCTAGATGCTGCATTCATGTACGACAGCAGCCTGGAGCCTATTTTCTCACAAATACCTGTCTTTCCTTTTGGGGCCATAGACAAATAGCACATTTCCAATTATATCTCCATGTAGACTGAGATTCTGTGATGAGAAACATTAAAATCTACTTTTTTATTTCAAAAATAATTCCTTGTACATATGCATTTTCAACAGGAGATGTAAATTGGTTCCACAGAGGTAAGTAAAAATCTTCATAGATACAATAATAATGGTTTGCGGTCCTCCAAAGGGCTGCAGGACATAAACAGATATTCAGTGTGTCTGGGGATTCAAATTTCATTAAGTGGGAGAGGCAATTATCAAAGAAATGTCAAACAAGGCTTCTCAGGGGGACAATATATTTTTTTAATTTTTTAATTTTTTATTTTTTTTGTGACGTAGTCTCGCTCTGTAGCCCAGGCTGGAGTGCAGTGGCGTGATCTCGGCTCACTGCAACCTCTGCCTCCCGACCTTGGTCCAAACGATTCTCCTGCATCAGCCTCCTGAGTAGCTGGGATTACAGGCATGCGCCACCACGCCCAGCTAGTTTTTGTATTTTTAGTAGAAACGGGGTTTCACCATGTTGGCCAGGCTGGTCGTGAACTCCTGACCTCATGAACTGCCCACCTTGGCCTTCCAAAATGCTGAGATTACAGGCATAAGCCACTGCATCCGGCCTAATTTTTTTTTTTTTTTTTTAAGTAGAGACAGGGTCTCACTATATTGCCCAGGCTGGTCTCCAACTCCTGCATCCAAACAATACACCTGCCTCAGGCTCCCAAAGTGCTGGGATTACAGGCGTGAGACACTGCACCTGGCCAATACTTTTTTTTAAAGGTGGAGAATCACTGCTTTAAAAGTAACAAATGAGGCCAGGCACGGTGGCTCACACCTGTAATCCAGGCACTTTAGGAGGCTGAGGTGGGAGGATCACTTGAAGCTGGGAGTTCGAGACCAACCTGGCCAACATAGTGAGGCCCTGTCTCTACTTTAAATTTTTAAAAGCAACAAATGAGATGAACATTTCGAATCACAAAGGAATTGCATTGAGCTGCAGTGACAGAAGCCCAGTTACAGCAGTGTTAACAAATAAGGGTCTATTTCTGTCACATGAGAAGTCCAGGATGAAAAAAGGTGGTACTGGTAGTTGTTGGCTTTGGTTCAGCAGCTCAATGACATCAAAACAGAATTTTCTGTAAGTCTCTTGGTTCATGGTGCCAAGAAGGCTATGCAACTCAAAAGACTATCCACATTCCAGACAGCAGGAGAAAGGGCTGTTAAGATCAAAAAGATGTGCCTCCTAGCTGACTCAATCAGTTCCTTTTAGAGAGCTTTACCCAGAGGTTTCATTGGAGGACCTTCCCCTACATCTCACTGACTATGCCTAGCTTCAAAGAAGGCTGGAAACGAAAACCTGGCTTCAAAAGAGGCTGGAAATACAATCAGGAAGTCAGGAAGATAAGGAGAACTCAACTCACTGTGTCTACCACAATATGAAGTAGATTCAAACTGCTTCTCTCTTAAAATCTTGTTTCCAAAGATCTATAAGATCTCTTAATACAGAGATTAATTCTGTGCCTACCATATTCTTAATATAGTTTCACTGTTTTCCCCTTAACAACGTAACATTTTTGTTTTGACAATGAATAGTCAGTCTAAATATTAGGTAGAGAGAAAAGAACTCTGTGGATATAGAATCCTTAAAAGGCACACATATAAGTTCTATACAAGGACCCACAAACTTCTCAACATGATCAATGATTATCTGCCATATACAAAGAAGATAAAACAAATCCTGGCCTAGCCAGAACTTACAAGAGTGGAATATCAGTGATCAACTGCATCAAACAGCACAGCAATTCTTCCAAAAGATCTTCTGAGTCAGAACCTGGTAAGACACATAAAAAGATTTTTTTTTAACAAAGTACACAGTAGAATACAGTTGTTCAGAAGTTACATTTTCATTCCTAATGAGAATACAAACAGTTATCATTATATAAACTCAGATATTAATGTTGACCTCTGAATAAAATCCAAATCATGAATAGGTTAGCATCTATGATGATCTTCATCTAGCATAGGACCTTTCAACACCTGCTGTTAATAATACAGCTTTTAAAGCTTGAAGGTACTTTAGGCTCCTGTACGCCAGTAGTTGTCAGATTTCTTATACTGCACTGTGTTTCTTTCAATGAAATCTTACATTAAAGCCAAATATATGAAACAGATAAAAATCAAGCTGCTCTCACTGCTTTGTTTGAAGCAGGGGTAGAGGACTTTTATCCCTCCCTCCCCAACAAATATCTGGCCTTACCCTTGATTTCTTGATGGGAGGGCCTGAAGGTACCTTTTATGAACCTCTGGCACTCCACGGATCATAGACTGAACCCCATTAAAGAGGCCAACCTCCTCTTTACAGACAATGAGTCAAAGGTAAAAGGGCTTTCCCAAGTCACAGAATAAATAAGTGGCAACGGCAGGATGCAAATTACCATTCCAATGGAAATGTTCCCCTATCCCAAACTACTACAGGTAAGTGACCTCCAAATTCCCAAAGTCAGTCAGTATCTCATGTGACTTCTGGTCTTGGACATTACTGACACCTACTCCTTCATGAAATTCTTTCTTTTCTCAGTTCTTATAATACTTTATTTTTAACCAACTTCTTTTTCTATTTCTTCCCAGTGTCTGCTTCCTCAAAATACGTTTCAACTATTGGCATGTTCCCCAGAGTTCCACCATTGTCATGCTTTTTTGTTCATTATCTCATCACCACAGTGCAGCTAAACAAGTTTACTAAATTAAAACTCACTCCTGGGCTGGGTGTGGTGGCTCACACCTATAATCCCAGCATTTTGTGAGGCCAAGGCAGGCAGATCACCTGAGGTCAGGAGTTCGAGACCAGCCTGGCCAACATGGTGAAACCCCACCTCTAATAAAAATACAAAAATTAGTCCAGCATGGTGGCGCACGCCTGTGGTCCCAGCTACTCAGGAGGCAGAGACAGGAGAATTGCTTGAACCCGGGAGGAAGAGGTTGCAGTGAACTGAGGTCGCGCCACAGCACTCCAGCCTGGGTGACAAAACAAGACTGTGTCTCAAAAAAAAAAAAGAAAGAAAGAAAGAAAACTGACTCCTGGACTCCTTTAACCTTCATAACTAGTTAGTATTGTAGTTCCAATTTTACTCCTCTGCAATCCAAACTCCAGATTGCAATCAGACAGAGCTAACTAAACTCCATCCTTTCACTCTCCTGGCTTAGATCTTTTCAATTACTTTAAGCTGATTAATATATATCAGAAAAATTCCATGCTCCAAAGTACAGCATGCCAGACTCTTGGAGATATAGGTCCTGCATCCCTTTCTACATTTATCTTCCTCCAGTACTGCAGTGTATATTCCAGCAATGCCAAGCTATCCACTACATGCCATTTCACACCTCAGTAACATTCCCTCTGCCTGGAATAGCCTCCAACAATAAAAACCTAGTTTTTAAAAAGCCCATCTGTATCCATCTGAACCATCCTCAGTTTCATATCCTCCATGAAACCCACTCCCTTGTCTCACCCTGAATAATCTATAAAGTATCTATGCCTTGTGCATGCCTCTTGCGTTGCATATGTTGGTTACATTATGCCATCATTTTTTGTCTACAAGCAGGCAGGCCCCTACTGGACTCTATACTTCTAGAGGATGATGACTCACAAAGAGCTTGCACATAGTATGTACTCAATACAATTTGCTGAACTGAGCCCAAGCATCTCAGAAAAAATCCAGCAGTTAATTGCAAAGCATCAAAGCACTTGGAGTCTCAAAAAAAAAAAGTTTAGCAATTTCTTTTCTAGGCTACAATATCACCTAGCATTCAGAAATTATAAAGAAATTTCATCCTGCTTTGCCACAAAGAACTGGCACAGTAACCCCGTGAGAGGTAAGTACAAATCTTAAAAAGAATATTAAATCATGCTGAACACAGCAATCGATGCTAAAAAGGATACACAGCAAGACTCAAGTTCAACAACCAAATTAAATCTCACTCCAAGAAACATCGGGCTTGGCTCTATTATTAGTGAAGAAAAAAAAATAAAAGAGTAAGTCACACTTGTCTCTGGGACTGCATGATTAGTTACCAGATCTAACTAAAATCCCTCTCATTGCCAAGGCTGTCCAACATAACTCAAGTTAACAACCTACTCCAACAAGTTGATTTGTTGGTATGTAATATATACTCAATGTACGTTTGCTAAATGGTCACTCCTTAACTCATTCTACAGGATGCAATGTCCCAGGCCCAAGAAAGAACACTTAAAATCACTCAGTGATTCCCTAAGAAACATTTCAGACCAAATGCCAGTTTAATAACATCCCTGTTCAGCCAAGCAGCCAGCACAGTTTTTTAATTACGGAAGGTGAGAGACCAAGCACTCAGGAACCACAGATGGTGCCTGATTTGATTTTTTAACTTCCAGGGGTATAAAAACACCTAATTTTTACATCTTAAAATGATGACAAGGATTCTCTATTCAATTCCATGTGCCACTCAAATCACAACCTCGGCCAAATTTACAGTTGGGTCAATTAAGGAGTATACACACAGCTTTGTTACCAATCTAATAAAATAATGAAGATGATGATAAACATATTTCATAGAAGTAAAATGTAATATTTCAAGGCCAAAGCTCTAACAAAAGACAATAAGCAATTTCCAGCTGAAATATCTTAAGACTTCCATTCACTAAAAAAAAAATTCCTCAGAATTCTAAATTCTTGTTTCTCAGCTAATCTAGAAGTAAATAATTGTATTTTAAGTGAAGATTGACAAGATTTGACTGCTTACTAGGTTTGACATCAAGCAAGCCATTCATATTGCATTATTTCCCAACTAGCACTTATATCACCTTAGCTTTCTTATAAGGCCAAATATCTTCCTTAGTTCCAAAAAATAAATATAAACTCACCTACAAAAAGTATAGTAACACATTCAAGCATTTCATACAGTAAAAAGAATCTTAAAAGTTCTTGAAATTTGCAGGTCAATGACAAAATAAACTGAGGTTCTTTGAGCAAAGGTCTTTGCAAAGATTCAGTGTGTTTACTGTATTGTAAAGTTTTATAACTTAGAGTTCTCTAAGAAAGAACATTTCTCTCCTAAGAGTTCTCTCTCAATGCTTGGTGCAGTGGCACCTGCTATAGCACCAGCTACTCAGGAGGCTGAGGCAGGAGGATCTCTTGAGCCCAGGAGTTGGAGGCCAGCTTGGGCAACATACCAAGACCCTATCTCTTAAAACAAACAAACAAACAAGAGTTCTCCCTTAAAGAGTTTTAAATTACCACAATAGGTCCAGACAAATATTTTAATATTTTAAGTCTTAGTTTCTATAAGATCATATTAACAGCAAACATTTACCAAGTACTCTACCCTTTGACAGGCATTGTGATGAGCACTTTATACTCAATGTCATGTTAACGTTAATCCTGACAGTAACTCTTGATGAATAGTTAATGATTATGATCATCATTTTACAGATGAAGACATCAAGGCTCAGATAGGTTAGTTTAATTAGAGTAAGGGGCAGAAACCAGATTGGAACTCAAATCTATACTCTCAAGGAAAAAAATTAAAAGGAAAATATCCTTTAAATTATTTTTAAAGATATGTTTCTACACAAAGTTGGGGGAAAATATTCAACCAATTCATGTTTTACTGAACACTGTAAACACAAAACCCCAAGTACTATGGGCCCGGTTAGGAGGGAGACATCTGAAGTACTACATATTAGTTTATACATAAAGATGACACACTATGTATTCATCAACACATACTAGAAGTTCTTGACTCCTTCAAAATCCAATGTACAAATAATCTAAAACAATGAATAAATATAAGCTATTATCATCCGTATTGTGCAGAACAAGGTCACTAAAATCCCAGCCCTATCCCTGGAGTTTTCTCACTCTAAAGCCCCACTGCTCTAGTCCCTAAGAACTTCACCAGGGGAAGAAGTAGACAAGCGAGATGATATCTAGGGTCCCTTAAGGTTCTAATAATCTATACCCAAAATTAAGCTGCAGTCCCTGTTAGTTCATTCTATTCAGCATCCATTCAGCACCATGTGCTGAGTGAGACAGCACTGTTGTTTTGTCCTTAGGGAGAGAAGCAGAGAACAGTACAATACTGTCCTAATCAAATGCCTTCCAACACAGTAGGAGGGGAAGGGAAGACAGTAAAAAAATTATTTTTAAAAAGCACTCACTGATCATTAGAAAACAAAGCAACCAGAAAAATGAAACATATGGATTTAAATCAGAATACATACAGTCATTAAAAGAAATGTTAAAAGACAGAGTTTTTGTCTTTGTTTTCTTTGCGTTCAGAAGGTTGAACTGCCAGTTTTTTAATGCTGCCCAAAATTACACTGTGCCAAATACAAGTACTAAAAACTTAATCGAACAGGGCTGTACTCCAAAAATAGGTTAAAAGAGTACCTTAGAAGTTCAGAATAAAATTGGCTTCTTTAAAATGGAAGACACATAATTAAATTATATTTATTAAAAACTTATATTCAGAAAATAAAAGACTCACGGTAGAGTCTATGTTTTTGCCACTTTAATAGTGAAACTAACATTGAAGTTATTCTAAAATATTAGATTTAAACTTCTAATTAGCAAAACCAAAAATGTCTCTTGTAGGTTAATCATAAAGAGGAAAGGCAAAAGGACTCTTCTAAAAAGAAAAGTGATCTGCATTTCAGTGCACTACAGTATTTATAAGCTTGTGTCCTGTACCATTCCAATCAGATCAGTAATAATTCTGGTTGACTGCTATTATTTTGGTCAAACAGAAATGTTTCTAATTACCCTAAAAGATAATATACTCTACCAGGTTTGATTATAAAATGTGCCTATAGAAAAGTTTAATTGATTTTGTTCCACTGATAACATAAGGGAAAGAAAGGGAGAGAAGAGACAGAAATATGACAAAACAATCACACCTATTATATGACCAAAGAACAGTTCAGGAATTCCTAGAGGCACTTTTGTTTTTCTGCAGATACAGATTACAAGTCTTATATATTACAAGTCAATATTTTAAAGGAATAAGTCCATGCTTTCTTTTTTCTCTGGGCCACATTTTTCCATATGGGTTTGTTTTTTGCATTGCTTACCTATAACTAATAAGGTTAAATTATTAAATTTGGTATTTAAACAAATAAAGCAAAAACCACCCAACCACATACTATACAATTTTGGGTTTACCTCCTGAGCTACCTACCGCCTGCCCCAGTCTCTAGGGCCCAGTTCCAGCAGAGAAAAGAGAGCAGAGAACCTGCTGCCGTGGCAGCCGAAGCACCTGAGCCATCTGGAAAAACAAAGCTGGTTTCACAGGACTCACCGCCACCGAGTTTGGCAAAACAAACATGCCACAGGTTTTGAAGGTGATTCCAAAGAAAGAGTTTCAAAAATGTTTTAAGTCTGGGGAGAATGGAAAGGAAACTGCTTGTGTTAGACAGGGGGTAATTAACAAATTTTAAATATACTTCCACAAATTTCCTATCTTGTATCACTTTTTTGTTTCGTTTTGATCTCTCACAAGTCAGCCACTGCCTTCACTGTTTGGAATCCTTGGCTCTCCACTGACCTGCCAGCGTGAGGCCAATGCTGACTGAAAGCGCGGTGTGCACAGGCAGAGCCTGCCAAACGGCGGTTCCCACTGGAGGGTTTCGGGCTGCTTCACTAGGGGACGCTGAAATGTAAGCCTTTTCCCCGTTTTGGTTCATTTTCTCTATAAGAGTATCCACTAATCTGGCAGGAAAGGGAATAGGGTGGGTAAAATCCTGGTGCCAGCATTCTAGCAGCCTAGTCAAGATACCTTACCCTTCCATATGTGGCCTTTCCACTGAGCCCTCGTCTCAGTAGGCCACCCTCCTTCCCCATTGCCTGAGAGTTCATTCAGGAGACTCTCTGGGTTCAGCCTCTATGGATAACAGATCTCTAGTATTAAACTGGGAAGGGGGGTGGCCTCCTAACACATGGGAAGGGACAGAACCTTGGACAGAACTGCTTCTTCCAACCAAGCCTGAATGCCTTCAGAGACCCCTGGCACTTCTGATTCCTAAGACTTTCCAGGGTTCTGGAGTAAGAACTGGCTTTTTTTCTGGAGTTCTCCAACCTTGAAGCCATTTAGCTTTCAGCTTTCACAGATCAGTGAAGCTCATCATTACTCCATTTTCCAACTTTCAAAATGTTATTAACATTGTGTTCCCCTCTCTTCTTCAATCTAATAAATTCATGACTTTTTAGAAGTCCCTTTGCTGATATTTTATTGGAGTTCCAGGAGAAAGCAAACATGCATGTTTAATCTACTATGCTTGAGAATAAGTCCCACAAAATAATTTTTTAAAAATAAGTTTATATTGAAACTGTTTTGTGCCATGGAAGTGCCATTAAAGCCAGGCTTCCGCTTGGCTTTGTCGAGTCCCTGTCCCTTTTCTACTCTCCACAAAGCTGTACTCACAGGTCATACAGTGTCTTGGGCCTAGCACCTTGCTCGCCCCAGGTCTGGGCAGCTGATCTGCTGCCTCCCTCCCCTCAGTGCTCACAGAGCTGCCCACTGGGCCACAGGTGGTAATCTCTTTCAAAACAGGAATAACGCTGGGCGCAGTGGCTCACGCCTATAATCCCAGTACTTTGGGAGGCCGAGATGGGCGGACCACTTGAGGTCGGGAGTTCAAGACCAGCCTGGCCAACACGGTGAAACCCCCGTCTCTACTAAAAATACAAAAATCAGCTGGGCATGGTGGCCCACGCCTGTAATCCTAGCTACTTGGGAGGCTGAGGCAGGAGAATTGCATGAACCTGGGAGGCGGAGGTTGCAGTGAGCCAAGGTCGCACCACTGCACTTCAGCCTCGGAAACAAGAGCGAAACTCCATCTCAGAAAAAAAAAAAAAAAAAAACAAAACAGGACTAACTCCCTCTCTGGGCTCTTCATCCTAGCACCTCCTACTTCCCTGGACCTTCCTTTCAGCTTTATTTCCCACCACCCCCACTTTGTTGCTTTTATCTTCAGCCTCTCAATCTCCAAAGGCTTCTTCCCTCATTTAAAAAATAAATAAACAAAAAATAATTGTAAAGAAACTATAGGCGGGTTCAGTGGCTCACACCTGTAATCCCAGCACTTTGGAAGGCCAAGGAGGGCAGATCACTTGAGGTCAGGGTTTGGGACCAGCCTGGCCAACATGGTGAAACCCCATCTCTACTAGAAATATAAAAATCAGCTGGACATGGTGGCATGCGCCTGTGATTCCCAGCTACTCGGGAGGCTAAGGCAGGAGAACCACTTGAACCCAGGAGGTGGAGGTTGCAGTGAGCCAAAATCGTGCCACTGCACTCCAGCCTGGGAAAGAGAGCAAGACTCTGTCTCCAAAATAAAAGAAAAAGAAACTATCATTGCAGCATGGTGGAGTAGTTACTCCAATAAGCCCTCCTGTACAAAACATCTAGTTCTTGGCTAAAATAACACTTTTTAGTGCATTGATGGGCTTCCCAGAATGTAAAGCAAATTTCTAAGGACTCCAACCCTATAACCAAAAGAACAACCTACGAGCAAATAAATGGACTTGAATCCAGAGTAAAACACTGAGAAGTAAGCAAACGCTAAGATAGGTAACCCTGAGGATGAATGCCAGTTAGAATGAAGCCCACTGACTAAGCCTCAGTCAGTGGCAAGGAATGGGGCCTGAACCTGAGACTCCACATTAAGTCAAGAATTGCTGCAGGATGCTAACATGGCATCAGGTGTTACAGGCCCTGGATCCCTTTAGAAGCAAATGCAAATCTCTCCCTTATTTGGAGCCTCAAATAAGATCAAACAAGGCTAAGTGTGGTGGCTCATGCCTATAATCCCAGTGCTTTGGAAGGCCAAGGCAGGAGGATTGCTTGAGGCCAGGAATTTGAGACCAGCCTGGGCAACATAGTGAGACCCCATCTCTACCAAAAATAATCTTTAAAAATTAGCCAGGCTTAATGGTATGTGCCTGTAGCCCTAGCTATTCAGGAGGCTGAGGCTTCAGTGAGCTGTGACTGTGCCACTGCACTCTAGCCTGAGTGACAGAAACTCTGTCTCAAAATAATAATAATAATAATACAATCAATGACATCAAATACACAAGGAAACAAGCCATGAGAAGCGTTTCCAAAAACAAACAGCAGATTTAGGCCCCTAAGGATTTAAAATATTGGATTTATAAGACGCCAAATGTGAAATAAATATCAGTATTACCTTGGCAAGAATGGGGTATAATACCAAGCCAGAGGAAAGAAAAACTCACATTGAAGGCAAAAGGAAAATGGAAACAATTTTGTATTACTTCATAGTTTTGCCTAGGGCTGGCTTTGTCCCCTTTGACTGATTCTCAAACGCATGGACTAATGGAAGAGCTATCCTCATATAATAATACAAATTCTCCCTAACAATCTGCTACCACATCATACATAGCCTATGGGAAAATGTTCAAATACAAAATCCTCACAAATTTAGATTACAAACTAAGAGCTTACTGACAGTCACATTACTCTCATAAAGACTGCTTCACTGAAAATGCCAGCAATATCCATGTGATCACAGCAGTATTACAATGGATTGGAATAAAGAAAAAAATGCTGTATGTGGAATAAGCCAACATACCTAAGATGCCTCAGTTGACTTTGCTCAATTGTTTGCAGATGGCCCTCTACTTTTGTAAATTCGACCTTCAAACAACCTGTACCACTGTATATTATCGACCCCACTCTTTCATATACCTAAATCAGATATCATATATCAGCTGATAAATGGATGTCTTCAGCTACTGCATGGTGATGCTCCATTTTTCCCCCTTTCAACAGTATCTCTGTAATCATTTAATTTTATTGCTCTTTTATCAACTGTAAAAAGAAATTGGCAGAAAATATAAAAAGGGCTAAAGTAGAAATCTCAAACTAACAACATGGAAGACTAAGGTAAAAATAATTACATATGCCAAAAACAGAAAGTTTTTAGTCTTAAAAGATATTCATTGGACTTAAGCTGGTGGACCAAGAGTAGGCTCAATTATAAACACTAAAGAACATGTATAGGGCCGGGTGAGGTGGCACATGCCTGTAATCCCAGCACTTTGGGAGGCCGAGGCAGGCAGATCACCTGAGGTCAGGAGTTCGTGACCAGCCTGGCCAACATGGCAAAACTCCGTCTCTACTAAAAAAATACAAAAATTAGCCAGGCATGGTGGCAGGCACCTGTAATCCCAGCTACTCAGGAGGCTGATACAGGAGAATTGCTTGAACCTGGGAGGTGGAAGCTGCAGTGAGCCGAGATTGCACCACCGCACTCCAGCCCAGGTGACAGGGCAAGACTCTGCCTGAAAAAGAAAAAACCATGTATAAAATCCTGAACTGTCAACTCTGTATAAAGGAAGCATATATTCACAATGATAGGTTCAAATTAAAAAAAAAGAAAGAAAAGGTCTGTCAGTATGCAGACAGAATCACAGAGATTACCACAGAGATGGCTCTTTCAGTGAGATAACCATCTTGATAAAGTGGCCTATGGTTGAAAAAGTGTCATTCTCCCACTACCCTTACATTAGGTTACCTAGGATGCACAACAAAAAACCTTGCTTCTCAAGCTTGGACAAGGGTGGGGGGTGCAGGGATACTCTGAGATTTGGACCCCAAAATAAATACAGTATATCTCTAAAATGCATCAATTCACTTAATGGTATATAATGAAAAATAATTTTATATTACAATAAAAATGATATTGTTACAGGACAGAGAAATATGTTACAGGAAAGGGGTCCCAATCCAGACCCCAAGACAGGGTTCTTGGATCTCGTGCAAGAAAGAATTCAGGACTAGTCCGCAATGCAAAGTGAAAGCAAGTTTATTAAGAAAGTATAGGAATGAAAGAACGGCTACTCCAGAGACAGAGCAGTCCCCAGGGCTGCCAGTTGCCCATTTTTATGGTTATTTCTTGACTATATGCTAAACAAGGGGTAGATTATTTATGCCTCCCCTTTTTAGACCATATAGGGTAACTTCTTAAGATTGCCATGGCATTTGTAAACTGTCATGGCGCTGGTGGGAGTGTAGCAGTAAGGATGACCAGAGGTCACTCTCGTGGCCATTTTGGTTTTGGTGGGTTTTGGCTGGCTCCTTCACTGCAACTTGTTTTATCAGCAAGGTCTTCATGACTGGTATTTTGTGCCAACTTCCTATCTCATTCTGTGACTTAGAATGTCTTAACTGTCTGGGAATATAGCCTGGTAGGTTTCAACTTAATTTACCCAGCTCCTATTCAAGATGGAGTTGTTCTGGTTCCCATGCCTCTGACAATATCACGTTAAATAAAGTAAAAATATGCACATTTTGTAGGACATAATACAAAACAAAGTGCTGGGTTTGCAGGTATTGAGTGGGCTATGCTCTTGGGCCCTGTGAGGATAAACATTCACTCCATTCTTGCTGCTAGCACTTCATGGGAAGGTTTGCAACTTACCAAGCAGAACTATGTTTTTGGTACTACTGGCATCACAAACATGAAGGCCAGCATTAACAAAACTAACACACGCAAGACACAATTCTAATTAAAAGCTCTAACTTCAGACATCAGTATATATTTAAAAAATATAGAAGGCTAATGATCAAAATAGTAAATTAAACATATCCATCTCTTGAAACTCAAACTCAATGTATAAAGCACAAGCTCTGAAAATCATGCTAAATGATAAACAATAACTGTGAAAGATGATGGGGTGGTTTGGGAATAGTTAAATTAATTAGATTCTACATAATTCTCACAAATATTCTCTCCTAGAAAAAAATAAAGTATATAACATTCAAAATACCAAAATTCTGCAGTATCTCTCACACACCAACTTAGTTAACTTCCTCAAAATCCTTGATTAAGTCTATACTATAACATACAGTTATATGGTAGTCAGAGAACATAATGGTCAATCCCAAAAGAAGATCAAGACCAGCAAAAAATCTAGCTATATTCAGAAACAACTTAGAAGGTCTTATGTTCCTTTCCTACTTAGTGACTGAGAAAGAGACAGAAAATGTATTTTGCCTGTGAAAGTTTAGGGGGAAGAGGAAGCAGTACCTGTTTTTCCAGTACCACTAATCAAATGTGGAGTCAAAGGGACTTTTATTATTGAAATAAATTTTGGTGAAATGACAAATGCTCAATCTCTAAAAATATTAGGATGGTTCAGTTTGCTTCCTGTGCCTCAGCTCCCTTTTCCAAGGTAGCTTAATGAAAGGTAGCTTCAATAAAATTTGGCTGCCTAGGCCAGGCCCAGTGGCTCACACCTGTAATCCCAGCACTTTGGGAGGCCGAGGTGGGCAGATCACATGAGGTCAGGAGTTCAAGACCAGCCTGACCAACATGGTGAAACCCCTGTCTCTACTAAAAATACAAAAGTAACCGGGCATGGTGGCACATGCCTCTAATCCCAGATACTTGGGAGGCTGAGGTAGGAGAATCACCTGAACCCAGGAGGCGGAGGTTGCAGTGAGCCGAGATCGTTCCATTGCACTCCAACCAGGGCAACAAAAGTGAAACTGTCTCAAAAAAAAAAAAATTGGCTGCCTATCTTTTTTAGAGCAGAATCTCAAAAGTTCAACAGGAATTACTTCAGAGTAGAAAGCACAGAATCCAAGAAAGGAATGGCTGATCTACAGTGAAACTGGAGAGTTGTTTCCCCTGAGAAGACAAGGTAAACATTTTTATCCAAGGGAAATACTCGTGGGGCAGCCCCTAAACACCTGGGGCTCTCACAGTTACAAAGCGGGAAAGGGGAAAAGACACACACACACACACACACACACACACACACACACATCTATACCTACCTTGGGCTTTAGAAGAAAAAAATATATATATATAAACATATATACACATATATATATGTATATATACACACACACATATTCATTGTCATTTTATTCACCCTTTATAGGAAACTATTCTTAATAAATTATAACTTGGTACAGTATCTGAAATTTAACATTTTTTTAACAGCATCAAAGAGAATTTCAGTACCTATCCCCTTCCCCCTATCCCCCAAAGTTAATGAGGTAGTAATTCATACTAACTCAAAACTGGACAAAACAATAAGTGACCTTCCATGAAATGGTCTTCTGGGACAGAAGGGAAAATAAAAGATGACAGCAAATAAAACTGCTAAAATTGATATGCTTGCTTTATTCAAGAATAATAAAGTTATCCACATTTTAACTATGAAATGTAGAATAATACCTGAGATACTGTGATGGTTAATATCGAGTGTCAACTTGATCGGATTGAAAGATGCAAAGTACTGTTCCTGGATGTGTCTGTGAGGGTGTTGCCAAAGGAGATCAACGTTTGAGTCAGTGGACTGGGAGAGGCATACCCACCCTCAATCTGGGTGGGCACCATCTAATCAGCTGCCAGGACAAATAGAATAAAGCAGGCAGAAGAACATGGAAGGAACAGACTTGCTGAGTCTCCTGGCCTTCATCTTTCTCCCATGCTGGATGCTTCTTGCCCTCAAACACTGGACTCCAGATTCTTCTGTTTTTGGACCCTTGGACTTACACCAGTGGTTTGCCAGGGACTCTTGGGCCTTCAGACACAGACTGAAGGCTGCACTGTCAGCCCTACTTTTGAGGTTTTGGGACTCAAACTGGCTTCCTTGCTCCTCAGCTTGCACAGGGCCTATTGTGGCACTTCACGTTGTGATCATGTGAGT
The DNA here is from genome assembly GCF_000001405.40 of Homo sapiens. Classification (NCBI taxonomy): domain Eukaryota; kingdom Metazoa; phylum Chordata; class Mammalia; order Primates; family Hominidae; genus Homo; species Homo sapiens. Next base: position 49,376,123 of record NC_000018.10, read on the forward strand.
CACTACTCCTTAATAAACTCCCCTTCATATATACATCTATGCTATTTGTCCTGTCCCTCCAGAGAACCCTAATACAATAACTTTCAAAGAAAAGTAGAACATATGATTTCCCTTCCCTGCAACCAGCCAACTATGTCATCTGTTGGAAAGAAACTTTAGAACACTTACGAAACAAACTTAATTGTGATATTTTTAATTCAGTATGCTCTCAAGGATGAAACTTGAATTTAAATACACTCAACCATATTTGTCCAGTATCAGTAGAGGAAAACAAAAATGTTTCCACATAAACAGAAAACAAAAGATTGCTGATATCTTGCTCAAGCACAAACTAGAGTCTGCTCATCTATCTGCCTATTTGGGGACAGGGCATATGTAAACTGCAGCAAATTCCATTTAGTCTACAAACTTCTGACCAAAGAAAATGAAGAGCTCTTGCCTGCTAAATGTTCTGCATGCCTTGCACACAGCATTGCTATGAGGCAGTAGTTTCCTGCCCTGTGATGTTTGCCACCTTTCAGTTTTCTCAAAACCTGCAGAACTTAGTGAGATTCGGACCTTACAGAAATGAAAGGCGATAGACTCCTTGGACATGAACCTGCCAAATGGCTATCAAGGTGGCCAGTCACAGAAAAGCTGTTAAAATGTTAGAAGATGGTAAAATCGTATTTTCAAAGTGTGAGTCAAGAAGAATGTCCTTTTCTAATTTGGAAATACACTGAGGATAAGAATGAAGAAAAAGATTGCAGTAAAACAGAAATTCATATTCTATTTCTCCAAAACCGTTTCCTGATCTTGAAAGAGGCCATAAGGAGCCTAAAGAAGGATGAAATGACTGTCCTAAGTTGCTCAACAGTATGTGTAGAAAATTGCTCTACCATCAGGTAATGGGGTCTCAGAGGGAGAAGAGATAAATACACATGGTCACTCTGCTACTTGAGTTGAAAGTATTGTAAACTATTGTTTTCTTGTACCATGTCATTTCATTTGCTCAAAATGTAACATAATACCTTAATACATTTAAATGATATAACCAGAATTTCCATAAGATTTTTGCCATCTAAAAATAGTTTTAAGAAATGCTTGAATGCACAAAAGGTTAACTTTCCACAGAATCTTTTCTACTTCCCCATAATATTGTTTTTAAAAATTCTAGGCCGGGCACGGTGGCTCATGCCTGTAATCCCAGCACTTTGGAAGGCCAAGGTGGGTGGATCACTTGAGGTCAGGAGTTCAAGATCAGCCTGGCCAACATGCTGAAACCCCATCTCTACTAAAAATACAAAAATTAGCTGGGCTTGGTGGAATGCACCTGTAGTCCCAGCTACTCAGGAGGCTGAGACAGGAGAATTGCTTGAACTCAGGAGGCAGAGGCTGCAGTGAGCCAAGATCGCACCACTGCATTCCAGCCTGGGCAACAGAGCGAGACTCCATCTCAAAAAAAATAAAAATAAAAATATAAATAAAAATTCTATAATAGAATTTAAGAAATATTCCCCATAGACATGGATATACTGAAAAATCAGTACATTGTGATGTTGACCTGGATGAACAGTAACTCTTTTATACGTTTGTTTCCCTTTGTCAATATTTGACTTTGACATTTAAAAACACGTATTTAGCAACACAGTTGAAACCACAGTGAAAAATTACTCCTAGGTATATGAAAGTGTTATTATACATATGCATGAAATCCACATAGCACACAGACCTCCATTAAAAGTATACACATCTCAAAGTTCTCTCCCAATACCTGTTCCCACAAGAGATGTTAACATATGACCTTGAATCACACAGGTGACGCTGTCAGCCTGATGAGGGCAGAGATCTATTTTGAAAACAGAACTCGGAAAACTATGGGGCAACACTGCCTTGCCCTCAGAAAGGAAAGATTGTGTGAAGGGTAATCTTTCCCTGTATCTTCAGAAAAAGATGAGACACTTTGGCATCATAAAACTGTCCTTGAAAATGTTACTTCTGATAAAGTGTCGTAGTCCCAAAGACACTCAGACCCAGAAGCTATTGCTGCACGCTATGAAAGTAACCTTTACCATAAAATCTGACTAGTTGGCTCCCTTAATAATATATTGACTTGGCAATGATATTTAAAACTGACACCTCTGTTTTCTGAAAGAAATACATATTTGTGTGAGTTTTATTTTTTATATTACTTTCTTCTTCATCCACATGCATGAAAGTCAAAATAAATGAAAGCTTCAACCCCACCAGCTTTCTTATTTAAAACGAAAAACAAAAACAAAAAACGCTTGAGTCTTGACTCATTTAAATTAACACAGAAAAAGAAAAAATGACAGTATAAGTTCATTTTAAAATGAAAATTATAAGGATAACTGGAATTTTCAAAATCATACTTTTATTCCTGAAATTTTATCCTTAAATGTTACACATGATATATCCAGAACATCTTTAAAAACAATACTTACTGTAATTGCCAGGAGATTTTTCTTCATAAGTAAAATGAAGTTGTAATTCCTCCTCTGACATCTGACAGATGAACACTTTCAGCAAACAGCAAATAATAAACAAAGCATTGTGTGTCTGCCAAATGAAGATGTGGCTAGAAAGACCAAAATCATACAAGAATCAATATTTAAACATAAGCACCATAGTTTATTTCTAGTTCATGATTTCTTCCTGATTTGACAACCGTTTTGTCCATCCTATTGGTAATATTAGGATAATGTCCATATCTTTTAATGGCTCATGATTTATTTCATTGTACCAGTGATATTATGTTTTACTTCATAGTTCATTCCATGTACTTTACATAGTGAATCTACTTAATAAAAATCTTTACTGATGACTGTAGGAATGACTGTTCTTTGTTCTTAATAGGTATACCACGTACATGCGATTAAAAGAGAAGAAAGCTACCAAAAAATTTAAAAAATTGTGGTAACATAAAAAGAATATATGCAAATATGTAACCAAAATTTTCGACGAGGCATTGCCAGCAGCACGGTAAAATACTTTTTATTTGTATTAATGACCATGAACTCCCAAGAAAAACTTTATTGGATTCAATGTAATTTGTTTATAAGCAAGACAATGCAAAATATTTTAATCTTTTCAGAGACTGACATCCAAACATGGTTTTGAAAAATGCTTCAGTGCATAAAAAGTTAACCTTCCATTGATGTAAAGAATATAACGGAAATAACTGCAACAGATGTAGAATGAAATAAAACTCAGACTAAGTCATCATTTAAACTAGATAGCAGCAGCAGTGATAATGGGGGGGAGGGGAATTACCTTCTTAACGATAATTACATCATTATTCACCTTCTTAAAGAATATAATCTAAAGATTGTCTAAAAAGCTGAAATCAGATTCCCGAATCTATAATCTCACCCCAGTGACTTAGACACTAACCTAAAACCTCTCTACCTTTTTTTCTTAATAATGAGAATAATTCCTTCACAGAGATTTTCAAAAGACCACAGTCCATTTCCATCAATAAATGAAAACTAAAATTCACATTGTTAAATATAAAGCAAACATGGTTTAATTAGCCAGCTTACTTCTGACATTCTGCTGAAAGTTTTAGTTCTTTGGTTCTAGAAAGGAAGACCTTAATTAGTGCACCAAGATTTCCTGTTCGAGGATTGTTTTCAACTGCAAGAGAAGAAAAGGTTTTAAAAAGTTAAATTTAAGAACTAAAATCAAAGTGAGCTTATCATAACATTTATAAAACCAAATGTCATATTAAAATTGCTCAGTGACCAACTTTACTGTTAATTTCATACCTAATTAGAGAACTAAGCAATGAGAGAAACTGCTGCTCTTGGTCTTAATTCTGAACATCAAAAACTGATTTGCAAAATGAAAATGATAGAAACAGTACAAGTAGCCATCTTATCTCAGAATCCAAAATCATAAAGGAAAAAATAGTTAATAGACACATTCAACTTACACACTAAATCTTTCTCTAGAAAGGAGATTTTTAAAAACTCAAAAATTGATTATCTATGTCTCCAGTATATAGAATATAATAAACTATAAAAGTTTATTAAATCTAAAACACTCTTCAGATTACAAATCATTTGAATGAAAAATTAAGAAAACATATCAACAAAGCAGTGTGGCTAGAAGGGGAGCTATTTGACCAGACAAAACTTTAAAGAATTTTTTTTTAACTTTAAACGATGGGCATTTCAGCAACTGTATCAGGAATCAGAAGATTTAGTTTCTAGATCCAGGTCTATAATTAACTGAATACTGAATCTCAGACAAATCACTGTACTTCTCCAACCTCAGTTTTCTCATCTGTAAAAGAAACAACAGCTAACATATGCTGAACAACATAGAGTAGGTGCTTTACATGCATTAACTCATTTAATCCTCACACCAACCCTCCAGGAAAAGCACTAGTATCACTTGCATTTCACCGATCCTCACCTGGAGGTTGTTACTTGCTCAAGGAAACATCCTTATCAACTGGCTCAAATCTTTGACTTTAAACTGCTAGGTTGAAGCAACCTCTATAATCAAGAAATTGGACTTAAGGAAACTATAAAGCTCTATTGGGCTGCACAGCAAGTCACAGAAGCTAAGAATTCATCAGAAGGGAGAGACTATTTTGTAGAACCTTCCATTTGACTGATGAAGAGACAGGCTCAGAAAGGCTAAGCGCTGAGCTTAAAGTCAACAATATGTTAGTAGCAAACACAGTCTTTTTCCTTGACCAATGGTTTTCAAAATGTGAGATTCCAGAGTCCTGGATAATTGTTTCTCTTCTGAAGTATTTTTAACTAGTTTGAAAACTGGAAATGCAAACACTCAAACACACTGACTTAGGCTGCCAGGAAAGTTCATTCTTATGCAGATCTGGGAATTTCGCATATATTTGAACTTCTTTTTTTTTTAACATAGAAACAGGGTCTCGGTCTACCACCCAGGCTGGACAGCAGTGGTGCAATCATAGCTCTCTGCAACCTTGAGCTCCTGGGTTCAAGTGATCCTTCTGCCTCAGCCTCCCAAGTAGTTAGTGCTACAGGCATGCACCACCATGCCCAGCTAATTGTATTTTTTGTAGAGATGGTTTTGCCCTATGTTGCCCAAGCTGGTATATTTGAACTTACTGAAATGTGTCAAGATTTGAAAAAAATGAAGTTTTCCAGAATATTTTTTTAAAATTCAGGCCCATACATATATATTTTAAAATATTATACATGGGAATAAGTACAGCATTACAGCATACCTGCATTGTGCTTACTAACTGCCAAGCTCACTCCCTGCTGCATATATATTTTTGTCATGACTTAAGAGTCTATTCAAGTAACTGCCTAACTTTCTAACTGTGATAAAATGTCAAGCACTTTGCTATTCCAAGCGTGGCTCATGGACCGGCCACAACAGCATTATCTGAGAGCTTGGTGGAAGTTCAGAATCCCAGGTCCACCATACTCCTAACTGAAGCTGACAGTACTTCTCAAAGTTTAATGTGCATTTAAATCACAAGTCATTCTTATTTAAATGCAAATGGACTGCACATGTGTGAAATGTGCACTGAGATTCTGCATCTCTACCGTTCCCCAGTGACATCCACTACTGCTGCTGCTGGCTGGAGAATCCCACTGTGAGTAGCAAGGTGCAACATTTGTTGTCAATCAGCGGAGTTTTTATCCAGCCTTCACAATCAAGAATAGATATGTGATCAGATAGTAGATAATGTTAAGAGTTTCACTTTGAAACAAAAATGTCCTATTCCTCTTTAAAGCTTTAGGGTTAATGAAAGAATACCCAGAGACCTCAGGGTAAACTTTTTAAGAAAAAAAAAAAAAGAATAGTTAAGGTTTGCAAACGCATCTCTGTGGGACTTAATATTATCTAGCTATTGTAAATCCAAACAAAATGCTGAAACAAACTAAGCTGAGGGTAACATGACTACAATCACCACTCAGAATCCCAACTTTGAAATCTTTGTTCATTCAACAGCCCCCTTTATTACTGAATGGCCTTGTAATTGTTGAATGTATAAATGATTAGCTATTTAAAAAAACAAAACAAAACATCTTGTGTTTTTGGAAAGAGTAACCCGACTACTTGATTGATGTAATTAAAGCGCCGTGTACCTTCTTCACTGATTCACTCAATCAGCGTGTATTTATTGAGCTACTCATATGTGCCCACACTGTTTCAGATACTAAGGAGATACTTGTAAAGAGAACTCCCTGTCTTCATGGAGCTTACCTACCAAGACAGTTAAAAAGTTTCCATGATACTCTTTTGGATAAGATGAAGATTAGGGCAATAAGTTAATAAAATTAAATACACTCAATGATTTTAAACAATACTCCATGGTAGATTCAAGATTCCAAAATATCTCAATGGTAGAAGAAAAGAAATTTTACATGATCACAGTTAATTGGTGCAAATAAAATGCTATGTTGAAGCTGAATGAGCTTCGGGAGCCAGAGTAACAACACAGGAGGTCCGACAGGAAAGCAGAAAAGTGTAATGGGACTAGATTATAGACTCTGACGAAGTTCAAATCTCAGTTCCACCACTGACCAGCTGTAGAACACTTGGCAACTTACCTAACTGGCCCCTGCCTCAGTTTCCTCATCTGTAAAATTAAGATAACAAGAATGCTTAATAAAGAGCTAACTTACCTGATGCTAGAGCTTGAACTTGTAGCAGTCTGTTAACTAGTGATGCTTGTGTAAAGAAGGGAATGCCCCCATCCCTACAAGAATTCAAGCAAAGTTTGGGTAACATTCAGATAAGGGTATTGTAGACAGGATTTCTGTTTGAGATGAGAGATTAAATTTGCTTCTAGACCCTGAAACAAACTTTTCTAAGATCTCACCGAAAGACTCATGAGCTCTAAAATCCAACAACCAATGTAGAGAAAATACAGAGGAGAGAGGACAAGATGACCCCACGCAAGGATACAATGAACAAAATCTACGTTGTGGGAAACTCCACCACCCATTTTCTTCAATAAATACACTGAGAGAGGGAAAAGAAGAAAAAGACAGATGAAAAGGGAAACTTGCTTTGAAAAGAAATGTAAAGACATAACCAAAAATAATGTGTGAACTTATTTGGCCCCCAATTCAAACAAAATGAGACAATTACAAATTTGAACACTGAATATTTTGTGATATTAAAAGTTGTTTTTTTAATAAGATAGTGGTATTTTTTTTTAAGAATCCTTATTTAGAGATACATATTCGGCCTGGACAACACAGCAGCATACGGTGGAGGGAGAGGTAGAAAGACACTGATACAGATGTTCAATCTGGGAACTTCCAAATTCCCTCATACCCCAAAGCCAAGAAGTGAGGATAATGAAGGTCCCATTTAAACTAAGAAACTTGGACAAATAAAACCTTCTTGGGCTCTATAAATTAGGTTGGGAAACTATATCAACTTGCTCTCAAACTAAAATAACAGCAGATTCAACAAGCATCTATAGGATCTATATAAGCAACAGAGGAAATAAACACAGCCTCTCTGGGAGCAAACAATGCAGCTTCATGGGTTACACCCCATCCCCTTACTCTGCTTTATTTTTCTGAACAGCCAACATTGTATAAACCAGATATATTTATTTATTCTCTGGTTCCTCAATGAAATAGACAGCTCCATGAGGTCAGAGACCCGGGTCAGTGTTTTTTGCAGTCACAGCCCAAGCTTATAGGATAATGCCTGTAATATAGTAGGTGCTCCATAAATATGTGTTAGTTTAATGAAAAGGAGAAAATAACAACAACAGCAACCAGAGGATAAGAAATGAGTTACGCTGAAACCTCAGAAGAAAAGCTAAATCAAAATTGCCAAAAGAATTTTAATACACAGCAATCAACAGTAGACAACAGGAAAATTAATCACCTATTTTTTAAAAAAGAACAGAAATCCACTGGGGGAAATGCATGAATGAAAAGAGAGCAAGCCAGGCACAGTAGCACACGCCTGTAATCCCAGCACTTTCAGAGGCCAAGGTGAGAGAATTGCTTGTGGCCAGAAGTTCAAGATAGCCTAGGCAACATCACAAAACCCCATCTCTACACAAAATACAAAAATTAGCCAGGTGTGGTTGCGCATGCCTATGGTCCCAGCTACCCAGGAGGCCAGGCAGGAGGATTGCTTGAGCCCAGGAGGTTGAAGCTGCAGTGAGCCATGATCACACCACTGCACTCCAGCATGAGCGACAGAGTGAGACCATGTCTCCAAAAAAAAAAAAAAAAAAAAAGGCTGGGTGCAGTGAGTCACACCTGTAATCCCAGCACTTTGGGAGGCCAAGGCAGGAAGATCACTTGAGGTCAGAAGTTCAAGACCAGCCTGGCCAATATGGTGAAACCCCATCTCTACTAAAAATACAAAAATCAGCCAGGCATGGTGGCGCATGCTTGTAATCCCAACTATTTGGGAGGCTGAGGTGGGACAATGGCTTGAACCCAGGAAGTGAAGGTTGCAGTGAGCAAGATTGCGCCACTGCACTCCAGCCTGGGAGACACAGCAACACTCCATCTCAAAAAAAAAAAAAAAGAAGAGAGCAGCCTGACATTAAAAGATCTACAAACGACTAGAAATGATTAAGAAATAAACTAAAAATGCAATAACAGCTAAAACATACACTACAATAGTAAAAGAGGAGAACTGGCAGTGTAGAAAACATTGAAATCAATCATACAAAGGAAGAAATATGAGAAAAGAACAGAGACAAAAAGATAACAGAAAGTAAAGAACAGAGATCCAACCTGAACATTACAGGTGATCAAGAGGTAGGGAGAAGAAACTAAAACACAAAATCAGAGCCATAATGAAAAAAAGAAAAAAAAAAACCTTCTGAACTGAAAAAGATCTTCGTACACCAATCAAAACACCTCATCAAATTATAGGAAAAACCATAAAGAGAAAAAGCATAATGAGAAATATTTATCACCAAGGGTTAAAGGAAAAAGTCTCATGAACAAAAAGAAAAAAGAAAAAAAAAAAGGACAAATGAGGCCACAGAACTTGGAGATATCCATAGGTTAAAATGCCAAAACAAGAAGTGAGGATACCCGGCTCCTGAAAAGATTGTATTTATATGCCAAAGGGCTAAAGAGCACACTCTTTCAGGAGAGGATGGTACAGCTGCTTTTTTACCCTTTATAAAGCTGGCAAACGTTTTTCCTCATCCCTCACCTACAGGGAGTCTGACTATCATAAAAAACAACTGACCTGGCTCTCACCACATCATCCTAGTGGGTTAAGAACTAGGACAAAGAAGGACCAATGGACGTCTTATTTACTGTGAAGTATTTAATAAGAAATCTGGGCTGGGCACAGTGGCTCAAGCCTGTAATCCCAGCACTTCGAAGGCCAAGGCGGGTGGATCACCTGAGGTCAGGAGTTCTGAGACCAGTCTCACTGACATGGTGAAACTCCAACTCTACTAAAAATACAAAATTAGCTGGGTGTGGTGGTGCATGCCTGTAATCCCAGCTACTTGGGAGGCTGAGACAGGAGAATTGCTTGAACCCAGGAGGTGGAGGTTGCAGTGAGTGGAGATCACACCATTGCACTCCAGCCTGGGCAACAAGAGCAAAACTCTGTCTCAAAAAAAAAAAGAAATCTGATCCAGAAAACCTTATGTGTACATTCAGGAAAAAAGTAATAAAGCTAAACACAAAAAGCCTAACAAAAATAATGGCCAGTGCTTTGGGAGGCTGAGGTGGGAGGCATGCTTGGGGTCAGGAGTTCAAGACAAGACTGGATAAGAGTGTGAGACCCTATTCCTTAAAAAAAGAAAAAAAAAGGCAATGAATTTCCCAAAATTGTTGAAAAACATTAATCTACACATCTAAGAGATGCATGCCACCATGCCAGGTTAATTTTTATTTTTCTTCTTATTTTGTAGAGACAGGGTCTTGCTATGTTGCCCAGGCTGGCATCTAACTCTCGGCCTCAAGCAATCTTCCTGCCGTGGCCTCCCAAAGAGCTGGAATTACAGGTGTGAGTCACCATGCCTGGCCAAAAAACTCTTTTAAAAGGCAAAGAGAGCACCTTACAAGCAGCAGGAAAAAATTTCTCATGATTTTCAGGGGAACAATAATACAATTAACGTCAGATTTATCTGAAAAAAATAGAGACCAGAAGGCAGTAGAATAATATGTTCAAAGTGCTGAAAGAGAAAAAAAATGTTAACCAAGAATTCTATATCTAGAAAAACTATCCTTTGAAAATGAAGGGATCAGGAGAGAAAGAAACAACTTTACACTGAAGAAACTTGATAAATAGTACCTCAGCCAAGTGATCAACATCAACACCATCAGTGATAAGTCATATTAATAGCATGTCCCCTTGATACGGTGTGTTGAGAACAGCACTTCACCTCCATGGTCTTCCTTCCACAAACCTATAACCCCAGTCTAAGCATGAGAAAGCCATCAGACAACTCAAATTGAGGAACGTTTTGGAAAATACCCTACTAATACTCCCCAAAATCATCAAAAGGCATAAAAAATGTGGGAAATCTGAGAAACTGTTGCAGACCAGAGAAATACATGATGACTAGATGTCATGTGGCACCCTAGGTGGGATCCTGGAACAGTGAAGGCAGATTAGGAGAAAGTTAGTGAAAGTCTGAGTGAAGGGTGTAGTTTAGTCAATAAAATTAACATAAACTCATTTTACTGTGCTTTGCTTTATTGTGCTTCAAAGACATGGCATTTTTTACAAATTGAAGGTTTGTGGCAACCTTGCAGTGAGCAAGTCTATCAGCACCATTTTTCCAACAATACGTGCTCACTTCATGTCTCTGCATCACGTTTTGGTAGTTCTTGCAAAATTTCTTCGTATTTATTTACTTTTTTTTTTTTTTTTGAAACAGAGTCTCACTCTGTCACCTAGGCTGAATGTCGTAGTGTGATCACAGCTCACTGCAGCCTCAACCTCCCAGGCTCAAGAGATCTTCCCATCTCAGCCTCCTGAGTAGCTACTCAGGAGTCACCATGTCTGGCTAATTTTCTTTTAGTTTTTTGTAGAGACAGGGTCTTGCTATGTTGCTCCTGGACTCAAGAATCCTCCCGCCTTGGCCTCCCAAAGTGCTGGGATTACAGGCCACCATGCCCAGCCAATTCTTGCAATATTTCAAGCATTTTACTGTTATATCTGTTATAGTGATCTCTAATCAGTGATCTCGTTTGTTTGTTTTTTGTGACGGAGTCTCACTCTGTCGCCCAGGCTGGAGTGCAAAGTTGTGATCTCGGCTCACCGCAACCTCTGCCTTCCGGGTTCAAGTGATTCTCCCACCTCAGCCTCCCGAGTAGCTGAGATTACAGGCAACTGCCATCATGCCCAGTTAATTTTTGTATTTTTGTAGAGATAGGGTTTCACTGTGTTGGCCAGGCTGGTCTTGAACTCCTCAGGTGATACACCCACCTCAGCCTCCCAAAGTGCTGGGATTACAAGAGTGAGCCACTGTGCCTGGTCGAATCCGTGATCTTTGATGTCATGTTGTCACCAGCAAGAAGATTATGACTCATTAAAGTCTCAGATGATGTGTTAGCATTTTTTTGCAACACAGTTATAAAATTAAGATACATACATTTAACACGTTATTGCACATTTGATAGACCATAGTATAATGTAAACATAACATTTATAAGCATGGGGAAACCAAAAAATTCATGCAACTCACTTTATTGCAATACTGGCTTTATCTCAGTGGTCTGGAACTGACCCACAATATCTCTGGGGTATACCTGTACCAATGTTGATTCCTTAGTTGAAATAAATGTACCATACTAAAATAAGATAATAAAATAGGGGAAATAGCTGAAGAGTATACAAGAATGCTCTATACTAGCTTTGAAACAGTTCCATAAATCTACAGCTATTCTAAAATTAAAAGCTTGTTTTAAAAATCTCAGTAGATAGTTTTAACAGCAAATGGGACATATCAAAAGGAAAGATTAGTACCAGGCACAGTAGCTCACACTTGTAATCCCAGCACTTTGTGGGGGCCAAGGTGGGAGGATCACTTGAGCCCAGAAGTTCAACATAACATGGCAAGATCCCACCTCTACAGAAAACTTAAAAATTATCCAGGCATGGTGACATATGCCTGTAATCCCAGCTACTCAGGAGGCTGAAGTGGTAGGACCTCTTGAGCCCAGGAAGCTGAGGTTGCAGTGAGCGGTGATAGTGCCACTGCACTCTAGCTGGGAAACAGAGTGAGACCCTGTCTCAAAATAAAAATAAAAATAAAAAAAAGGAAAACATTAGAAACTAAAGATGAATTAACAGAAAATATCTCATTGAAGGTCAGAGAGAAAAAGAATGTAAACTACAAAAGAAAAAAGGCCTAACAAGTATATGGGACACAATGGAAACAAAACATTGAACAGAAGTGTAACAAGCGTCCCAGGAGGAGAGGAGAGACAGAATAGAACAAAAATTTTATATATAAACACATAATGGCTAAGAATTTTCCAATACTGATAAAAGACACCAACTCACAGATTTAAGAATCTCTACAAACCTCAGGCGACAAAAAAACAAAGAAAACCTCTCCTCAGCACATCACTCTAAGGCTACTGAAAATCAAAAGATAAAAAGAAAAACTTAAAAGCAGCCGAAGTTAAAAATTCCATTATTTTCAAAGAAGCAACAATAAGGTTGACTGCTTTCTTCACAACAAAAACAAGAAAAGCTAGAAAATAACGAAATGACACCTTTAAAGTACGGAAAATAAATTAACGTCTATCTAAAATTCTATATCCAGCAAAACATATGCTTCAAAAGCCAAGAAAAAAAATAGCACATTTTCAGACAAAAAAAAAAAAAAAGAAAAAAGAGAAGGAAAATTGTTGCCAGTAGACCAGCACTTAAAAAAATTTTTTTTTCAAAAAGGAAACTAAGTACACTCACATAGCCCTTAAAGTTGATATGCACTTATACTTATTGATGTGAAGAGGTTCCTGACATGTTGCTGCGTGTAAACAAAATATAAATAATACCATTTATATGAAATTGTCACAAAAGATTAGCAGTGATTACACATGTACTGTTTAATATGAGATGATTTTTATTTTAGCCATACCATCACATTACTGGAATTTGGGGCAATAAATGTATATCTTGTTTTGCTGTTCCCAAAAGTATTTTTAAACATGTAACACATTCCTGATACAATGTCAAGTGAAAAACACAGATTAAAATGTGTGTGTGTGTCTGTGTGTGTGTGTGTGTGGTGGATGATATATATATAAATTTATATCTATTGAATAAGTAGTAGAAGAAAAAATACAAAAATATCAACAATGCCTATGTCAGGGTTTTCAAATTATGAGCAATTACTACCTCATTTACATTTTAGTATGCTTTCCACATTATGTATAATGAGTAAATATTACTTGCTTTTTTTCGCCCCTAGATTTGGAGTCTTGCTGTATTGTCCAGACTGGAGTCCAGTGGCGCCATCATGGTTCCCTGCAGCCTCAAATTCCTGGGCTCGATCAATCCTCCTACCTCAATCTCGCAAGCAGCTGAGACTACAGGCACATGCCACCATGCCTGGTTAAGTTTTTTCAATTTTTTTGCGTGTAGATGGGTAAGATGTAGATTTTGTAAGAGATGGGGTCTTATTATGTTGCCCAAGCTGGTCTTGAACTCTGACCTCAAGCAACCCTCCTGCCTCAGCCTCCTAAAGTTACCAGTATTACAGGCATGAGCCACCACTCCCAGCTACTTTCAGTTTTCTTAATGTAATTTTTTCTTTGTTTTCTCATTGCTTTGTTATATTTTTGTTTTTTCATCTTTTAATTTTATAATTTTTTTAAAAACCCAAAGTCACCTTAAAAGCCATTATCACAGTAACTACACTAATATTGTTACATAAAACTCCTTAATTTTCAGCACTGAATTGCGACATGGCTTTTGAAAGCCAGCTCTATTTAGCAAAAAATTCCCTAAGCTATGGTTGTAAGGCAAGACAACTACTACAATAACACCTTTTCATTATCAACATAGTTTGTTTTTAAAAACAAAAATATTTGGGCCCAGGCACGGTGGCTAACACCTGTAATATCCCAACACTTTGGGGGTCCAAGGTAGGAGGAGGAAGGCTTGCGGCCAGGAGCCTGAGACTAGCCTCGGCAACACAGGAGACCCCCATCTATACAAAAATAAAATAAAATCATTAGGCAGGTGTGGTGCCATGCACCTATAGCCCCAGCTTCTGAGGAGGCTGAGGTGGAAGGATCACTGAAGCCCAGGAGATCAAGGCTGCAGTGAGCCACAATGGCACCAGTGCACTCCAGCCTGGGCAGCAAAGCAAGACTCTATCTCTTTAAAAAAAAAAATAAATCATCAAAAACTGTTTTTAGCAAAATAGTTTATATGGGAGTTATCCATACAGCTCGATTTTTTTTTTTAATGTTTTTTGAGACAGAGTCTCGCTCTGTCGCCCAGGCTGGAGTGCAGTGGCGCGATCTCGGCTCACTGCAACCTCTGCCTCCCGGGTTCAAGCAATTCTCTGCCTCAGCCTCCCAAGTAGCTGGGATTACAGGCGCCCACCACCATGCCTTGCTAATTTTTGGATTTTTAGTAGTGACGGGGTTTCACCATCTTGGCCAAGCTGGTCTTGAACTCCTGACTTCGTGATCCACTCGCATCAGCCTCTCAAAATGCTGGGATTATAGGCGTGAGCCACTGTGTCCGGCCTAGACAGCCTGATTTTAAAACAGAATATTGTTCTCACTTATTACATTCCTGTACCCTAGGTATTTCACAGACACATTGTCTTACTTTTCAAAGCACCAATGCAATCTAAGTAAAACTGCCTGCATTTTAAAAATATATACAATTTCCTTCCAATTGCTATGAACTTGAAAGTTAAGCATTTGAGAAACAAGACCTGAAAAGGGTAACATTTGCTGACATAAATGGTTTGCAATGACTACATGACACACATTGTACTGAATATTTCATATTACCTAATTTTTCCTTATAAGAATCCTGTAAATAGTTGTCCTTATCCTCAATCTATATGAGGAAATTAAGGCTCAGCTAATAGGTAGCACAGCTGAAATTAAAATCATAAAATGATTCTGGATTCCATGCTCTTTGCCATAATATCAAGTTGTTATGGAAACTTCCTAATATACATTCTTAATAGATTTTAATATTGTTCTGGTGAACATAGTCAATAACAGCACTTGGTAAATCACATTATTTTCAGTATTTCAAAATTCACAAAAAGAACAAGACGAAAGAGTGTCTATGGCTTAGCAGAGTCCATTACCACTACTGCAGATATAGCCAAGCATGTGTCATATTGCTATTGACTGAAGGGTACCTTCTAGCAGCATCTGTGAATGCCACAAATAGAAAAAATTATTACTATTGCTATCAAAGAAGAGTAATTACTTCATTAATTCAGTTCATATTATACTATCAAAATCTAAAACAAAATTTGAAAACAACACCCCACACACATTTTTCCCACTTACCTAATGACCTGCAGACTGAAATGGTTGCTTCCTCCAAGAGTTTCAACTCACTACTGGAGAGACAGAAGAATAAAGGTAATTAATGACTATAATACTAAATATGTACATGCTAATCAGTTAAAGAAATATATAAAGATAAGAAAAATAATTTAGAAGAAAAATATGGTGCACAGTAGTGAACAATAAGATCAGCAAAAAAAAAAGTTAGGCTTCAATTTTCAATATAATTAGGAAATTTACTGTATTTCTAAATATGAGACTCCTAAAGAGAAGAGCTTGGGGCACCCTGCCTTTCAGGCATTAAGGCAGCAGGGAGACTTAGAAAAATTCAAGAAAGGCACTCCAAAGTAGAGAGCTCAAGGCAAGGGCCCTGTGTGCCCAATTCTAAAGGCAGTACTAATTATAGTTTAGAAATATGCTATTATTTTTAGGAAATACATGGAGTGTCATGATTGCTACAATACTTTCAAAAAGTTCTAGAAAAAAAGGAAAAGGAAGAAATAAAGCAAGAAAAGAGAGACGATACATATATGTTTTGGTGGTTTATAAATATATAGAAAAAAGATACAAAGATACAAACATACAGAAACAGATACAGAGACAGACTCAAGATGACACAGAGAAAAGAGGCACAGATAGACAGAGACAGAAATAAAGCTTAGAAGAAAATATGTTTCTTGAGATTGCATTTGACAACAATTTCTTGGATGTGACACCAAAAAGCACAGGTATCAACAGAAAAAAACAGACATGCTGGACTTTACCAAAATTAAAAACTTCTGTGGATCAAAGGATACTATCTACAGAGTGAAAAGTCAACCCACAGAATGGAAAACAGTACTTGTAAATCACATATCTGATAAGAGATTGATATCCAGAATATACTTTTAAAACTCCTACAACTCAACAACAACAAAAACCAAACAACCCAATTTTAAAATGGACCAACGACTTAAATAGCCATTTTCCAAAGAGGATATAGAAATGGCCAATAAGTACATGAAAACATGCTCAACATCACTAGTCATTAGTGAAACACTAAAACCAGAGCGAGATACTACTCCACACCCATTGGGATGGCTTTTATTTAAAAAAAAAAAAAAAAAAAAAAAAAAAAAGAGGCCAGGCGAGGTGGGCTCACACCTGTAATCCCAGCACTTTGGGAGGCTGAGGAGGGCAGATAACTTGAGGTCAGGAGTTCAAGACCAGCCTGGCCAATATGGTGAAACCCATCTCTACTAAAAATACAAAAATTAGCCAGGCATGGTGGTACACGCCTGTGATCCCAGCTACTTGGGAGGATGCAGCAGGAGAATTGCTTGAACCCAGGAGGCAGAGGTTACAGTGAGCCAAGATCGTGCCACTGCACTCCAACCTGGGAGACAGAGTCAGACTCCATCTCAAAAAAAAAAAAAGAAGAAGAAGAAGAGGAAGAAGGAGGAGGAGGAGGAGGAGGAGGGGAGGAGGGGAGGAGGAGGAGGAGGAAAGAAGGGAGGGAGGGAAGGAAGGAAGGAAGGAAGGAAGGAAGGAAGGAAGGAAGGAAGGAAGGAAGGAAGGAAGGAAGGAAGGAAGGAAAAAAGAAAGTAACAAGTGTTAGCAAGGATGCAGAGAAATTAGGACCCTTGTGCACTGATGGTATGTAAAATGATGCAGCCACTATGGCAAAAATATGGCAGTTCCTCAAAAAATTAAACATAAAATTACCATCCGGGTAGATACCCAAAAGAAGTGAAAGCAGGGTCTTGAAGAGATAGTTGTACACTCGTGTCCATGGCAGCTCCACTAACAGTAGCCAAGAGGTAGAAGTAACCCACATGTGTACCAACAGATAGATGGATAAATGAAATGTACATACACACAATGGAATATTATTTAGTCTTAAGAAATAGGGAATTTTGACAGGCGCGGTGGCTCATGCCTGTAATCCCAGCACTTTGGGAGGCCAAGGCGGGCAGATCACCTGAAGTCGGGAGTTCAAGACCAGCCTGACCAACATGGAGAAACCCCATCTCTACTAAAAATACAAAATTAGCCGGGTGTGGTGGTGCATGCCTGTAATTTCAGCTACTCGGGAGGCTGAGGCAGGAGAATCACTTGAATGCAGGAGGCAGAGATTGCGGTGAGCTGAGATGGCACCATTGCACTCCAGCCTAAGCAACAAGAGAGAAACTTCATCTCAAAAGAAAATAATAATAAAAATAAATAAATAAAAATAAAATAGGGAATTTCAATATATGCTACAACATGAATGAACCCTGAAGACATTATGCTAAGTGAAATAAGCCAGCCACAAAAAGATAAATATTGTATGATTCCTCTTATATGAGGCTCCTAGAGGAGTTAAACTCAAAGAGAAAAAGTAAAAAGGTGATTGCCAGGGGCTGGGGATGGGAGAATAGGGAACTAGTGTTTAGTCAGTATAGAGTTTCAGTTTGCCAAGATTAAAAAGTTTTAGAGATGGATGGTGTTAATGATTGCATGATAATGTGAATATACTTAATGCCACAGAACTATATACTTTAAAATGGTTAAAATGATTATTTTACATTGTGTATATTTCACCACAATTTTTTTAAGTGCATTTCAACTCCAGTTCAACTACTTACTAGATAGTTGAGCTTGGGCTGGTTTGTTAAATCTTTATGTCTTAATTTCCTCATATATAAAACAGAAATAGTAACAGTACCTTCATAAGGTTATTATGATTAAATTAATTATATGATATCGATAAAGCACTTAGAACAGTGCCTGGCACAAAGTAAGTCCTCAACAAATGATAGATTCTGTTTCATTTGTCTGTTTTTTTTTATACCAGTACCATGCTGTTTTGGTTACTATTGCTTTGTAGTATATTTTGAAATCAGGTAACGTAATGTCTCCAGATTTGCTCTTTTTGCTCAAGATTGCTTTGGCTATTCTGGGTCTTCTGTGTTGCCATAGAAATTTTAGAATTTTTTTTCTATTTCTGTGAAAAATATCACTGGTATTTTGATAGGGATTGCATTGAATCTGTAGATCACTTGAGATAGCATAGACATTTTAACAATATTTATTCTTCCGATACGTAACAAGGGATATTCTTTGCATTTATTTATGTCTTCTTCAATTTTTTTCATCAATATCTTATAGTTTTCATTGCAGAGATCTTTACCTCCTCAGTTAAATTTATTGCTAGGTTTTTTTAATAGCTACTGTAAATGTATTACCTTATTTCTTTTCCAGATAGTTCAACAGAATAAAGAACCCAGAAATAAATCCACACATGATTTTTGACAAAGGCATCAAGAACACACAATGGGGAAAGAACAATCTCTTCAACAAATGGTACTGTGTAAACTGAATATTCACATGCAGAAAAATGAAACTAGACCCCTATCTCTAACCACTTACAAAAATCAACTTAAAATACAGACTTAAATGTACTACCTGAAACTATGAAAACTACTAGAAGACACTTAAGTAAAATGCTTCAGCACATTGGTCTGGGCAAGGACTTGTTGGATAAGACCTCAAAAGCACAGAGAACAAAAGCAAAAATAGACAAATAGGATTATATCAAACTAAAAAGCTTCTGCACAGCAAAGGAAAGAACAAAGTGAAGAGACAATCCACAGAAAAGGAGAAAATATTCACAAACTATGCATCTGACAAGGGACTCATCCAGGATACATAAGGAACTCAATGGCAAAAAAAAAAATCCAATTTAAAAATGAACAAAATACCTAAATAGACACCTCTCAAAAGAAGAAACACAAGGCCAGGCGCAGTGGCTCATGCCTATAATCCCAGCACTTTGGGAGGCTGAGGCAGGAGGATCACCTGACGTTGGGAGTTCAAGACCAGCCTGACCAACATGGAGAAACCCTATCTCTACTAAAAATACAAAATAAGCCAGGTGTGGTGGCTCATGCCTGTAATTACAGCTACTCAGGAGGCTGAGGCAGGAGAATCGCTTGAAACTGGGAGGCAGAGGTTGTGGTGAGCCAAGATTGTGCCATTACACTCCAGCCTAGGCAACAAGAGCAAAACTCTGTCTAAAAAAAAAAAAAGAAGACATACAAATGGCAATAGGTATATGAAAAATATACCTCACCACTAATCACCAGGGAAAAGCAAATCAAAACCACAATGAGATATCACATCACCCAGTTAGAATGGCTATTATTAAAAAGACAAAAAATTACAAATGTTGGCAAGGATGCAGAGAAAGGGAAACTCTCATACAATGTTAGTAGGTGCTATAATTTGGATGTTTGATCCCTACAAACCTCATATTGAAATCTGATCCCCAATGTTAGAGGTGGGGCCTAATGGGAGGTGTCTGGGTCATGGGGGCAGATCCCTTATGAACAGACTGATACCCTCCCTCAGAAGTGGGTAACTTCTCACTCTATTAGTTCCCATTAGTACTGGTTGTGAAAAAGAGCCTGGCACCTCCCCGCCCCATTGCACCCTTTCTCATCATATGTTCTCTGTACACACCAGCTCCCCTTCACCTTCTGCCATGAGTGGAAGCAGCCTGAGGCCCTCATCAGATGCAGATGCTGGTACCAGCCTGCAGAAGTGTGAGCCAAATAAACCTCTTTTCTTTATAAATTACCCAGCTTCAGGTATTTCTTTATAGCAACACAAAACAGACCAAGACGTTAGGAAAGTAAATTAGTACAGCCATTAAGGACAACAGTAGGGAGGTTTTTCAACAAATTAAAAATAGAACTACCATATAATCCAATAATCCGACTGTTGGGTATAAACATTGAGCATCCCTTACCCAAAATGCTTGAGACCAGGAGCATTTCTGATTTCAGATTTTTTTTTCCGATTTTGAAATATTTGCATTATAGCTGAGCATCCCTAATCCAAAAATCCAAAATCCAAAATAGTACAGTGAGCATTATCCTCTAAGCATCACGTCAGTGCTCAAAAAGTTTTGGATTTTAGAGCATTCTGGATTTCAGATTTTTGGATTAGGGATACTCAACCTCTATATCCAAAGAAAACAAAATCAGTATGTCAAAGAGATATCTGCACTCTCATGTTTACTGCAGCACTATTCACAATGGCCAAGATATGGAATCAACCTAAGTATCCATCAATGGATGAATTTTTTTAATGAGGTACATATACACAATGGAATACTATTCAGGCATAAAAATAAATGAAATCCCGTCATTTGCGGCACCTGGATGAACCCACAAGACATTAAGTGAAATAAGTCAAGCACAAAAGACGAATAACACATGATCTCACTCATCTGTGAAAACTTAAAAAGTTGATCCCATAGAGATAAACAGTAGAATAGTGGTACTGAAGGCTGGGTAGGACAGGCAGGGAGAGGGAGAGAGGTCAACAGGTATAAAGTTACATTAGATAAAAGGGATAAGTTCTAATGTTCTATTATACAGTAAGGTGACTAGAGTTAACAATAATGTACTTTACATTTCAAAATGGCTAAAATAATTTTGAATGTTCTCACCACAAAGAAATAACAAGTGTTTGAGGTGATGGATATGCTAATTGCCCTGATTTAATCATTACACAATGTATAATGCATCGAAACATCATATGGTACCCCATAAATATGTACAATTATGTGTCAATTAACAAAATAAAACTTTTTAAAAATGATAACTATTATTGATTCCAAAATGTAGTAATTTACCCATAGATGATAAATTAAAATAATGCTTCACATTTGTTTAACCCTTTAAATATCTTTCAAAACACTTTCAAATATATTGGTGCAATTAAATTCCATGAAAATCTCTTCTGTGGGACAGGACCATTATAAATCTTATTTTTACAGATAAGCAAACTGAGGCATCCAAGGAGTTTAAAGTAAAATTCCAGGAATCAGAAGTCTGAGAAGAACAAGAACTGGCTTTAGAGCCTGGTGACTTGGTTAAAAATTATGTTTTCTTTTTTACCAATACACATGGTGCAGTAAATCCTCCAAATGGGCAACTCTTTTGTACCAGCTTTAAAACCCATACCCCTCCAGGGTTCTTTTCTGTTGCTGGTGAAGTGCACTTTTTAAAAGAGTAATTCATACCATCAAGATTTTTGACAAGAAAATTTTAGAAAAACTGTGGAAGAAAACTGATTGCTCTTAGTTCTAGCCATGTGTAATTGCTGACCACCTGAAATGGTCCAAACTGAGATTTGCTAAAGCATAAAATACACACCATATTTCAAAGGTTTTTAAAAGAATGTAAAACATTTCATTAATTTTATATTCATATAACGATTATATCTGGGAAACTGGGGTTAAATAAAATACATTAAAATTAAATTCACCTTTTTCATTTTACTTTTTCAATGTGGCTACTAGAAAACCTTAAATTACAAATGTGGCTTATCTTGTATTTCTGCTGGACAGAGCTGCTAGAACCTCCCAGCAATTAAAGAGTGTCATGCATAAAAATCATATATACACACAAAGCTAAGACTTACTAACTATAGTGAATATCCCGTTACCTTAAGAGTCTCAAATTATATGCATATTTTAAAAGATATCGTCTTTTTAAAGTTAAATTTTTTAAGTTTCACCTAGGACTGACTTTTTTTAACAAAATAACCTAGAAGTGATCCTATGATATAGTTTAAGGGTAGTAGTTTATGGAGACTCACCATATTAGATATTTATAAGGTGTCTGCCAGCCTTACAATGTCTCTCTGCTGTCTGTCTCTCTGTCTGCTGCCTCCCTACCCCTTTTTCTATCTTCCCACCTACTTTTCGGAGGTGAGCAGAGGCAGACAGATATGTGCAGCATGTCTCCGCTCCTGGCCACAGCTGACTAGTCCAGGGATAGACATCTAACCCAAGCCTAGCCCAAGTCTTAGAGAATTTAGAATTGAGATGGAAAGACAGGCTTTCCATTTGGCTAGAACTTGGCTGCATAGTTTAGGGCTGTGGGAGGCCACCCTCTACCGACAGAGTGGCAGAGAAAGCCAGTTAGTAAGAAAGATGAGTAAAAGCTTTGCAGAAAGAAAGACATAAACAGAAAGGACCCTCAGGATTGCTGATGGCTTTCCAATTCCTGGGACCAGTTCTTCCAGAAGCCTGAGTGTGTTCCTGATCTTGGATTCTATGAGACACTCCAGTGTCTTCATCACATCTTCCCCTTTTTCTGGCATATAGTAAGTAAAACTGATTTTTGTTGACAACCAGAAGACTTCTAATTAATAAATCACTGTGGTCAGATTTAATGATACACATTAGTAGTTGGCAAGAAATGGGAACTATGAATTACTCGGTTTATTGGTTACTCAGACAAAAAGTAAAAGAGGTATAAAATGCAAAGGATTGTAAAAAGCTTTATGAAATTAATAACTAGACCACATGCATAAAATCTATTTCACTTTCTTCAGTCAATGGCACTCTCTTTTAAAGCTGACTGGAACCAAGAGTTTCAATTATACACATATGGCTGTAATCTTCGAAGCTGCTAAATTTGTTCATCAGCAAATAGTGCTTGGGTGCCTAGGACATGCTAGGCTTCGTGAAAGATGCTGCCTCTGCCTCCAGGCTACATGGAGGAATGAAAAAGCAGACAGACAGTTCAGTACAGGGGAAGTATGAATTATGAAACCAGCCCTGTGTGTGAGCTCACAGGATGTGCACTCAACGTACCATAGAAGGAATCAAAGAGGCTATCCTGGAGGAAGTAACTATTCTTCCTGAAGGGCCAAGAGACATCAGGCAGGCAGAACAAAGAGAATAGTGCATGCAGAGGCATCGCAGTCACAGAGAGCCTGGCATGCCCTGGGAAGGGGTGGTTAATCAACACAGGGGAATGGCAAACTACAAAGCTGGAAAAGTATTCTAGACGGCTGGAATACCAAGTTCAGTCTCTCCATTTTTGTTTTGGGTATAAACAAAAACCAAAACAGGGCTCTGGTTTATTTTTACAACAGTATTAGCCTGAAAAGGGGATTAATTCCAACGTATATTAGTGAGGTTGGTTTGGACATCACTCCTTCCAGGAAGCCTTCTTTGATCAGGTCTCACCTAAGACAAGGTAAGAAGTCCATTCTCCACCCCAACACCCAACAGCTCTCAATCATAAAACTGAGCACGCAGCAGTAAGATTGCCCAGTTGCTTGTCTATGGCCCCCACTAGATTGTGGGCTCCTTGTTCATCACAGTATTCCAGCCTGGTACAGAGCAGGCAGTTAGGCACTGTCAGACACCACTCAGACCTTCATTACCAGGAGACAGAATTATTTCCCCTGGCTCCTTAGGAAACACTTCCCAGTCTCCAGCCCTCAAGGCAAGGTCTGCCGCTCAAGTTTAAATTTCTGTTAAAATATTTTTTAAAAGACATTTATTTTTATTTTTCTTTTTTTTTTTTTTTTTTTTTTTTTGAGACGGAGTCTTCCTTTATCACCCAGGCTGGAGTGCAGTGAGTGATCTTGGCTCACTGCAACCTCTGCCTCCCAGGCTCAAGCAATCCTCCTGCCTCAGCCTCCCAAGTAGCTGGGATTACAAGCACTTGCCACCACGCCTGGCTAATTTTTGAATTTTTAGTAGAGACGACGTTTCACCATGTTGGCCAGACTGGTCTTGAACTCCTGACCTCAGGTGATCCACCCACCTTGGCCTCCCAAAGTGCTGAGATTACAGGTGTGAGCCATAGCACCCAGACTAAAAGACATTTCTTTCTTTCCAAATATAAAAGAGCATATCCTTTTGAAGCAGTCTGATTTGTCAGAATTATCTGGAAAGCTCCCCACTGTGGTGAGCCAGCCAGCACCTGCCATTCTGTGACTATGTCCCCCAGGCCTGGATCCCCCAACACACAGCCACAATCTGAAACAGCACCACTGCCACTGCCTCGTTCAACAATCAACACTTTAGAGCAGAAGCATCTTCAGAGCCCACATTATAAGCTCCAAGAGAACAGGAAGATCTCATTCACTTATACATCCCCCACTGTGTCTGATACAGTGGCTCAGCCAGAAAAAAACCACTTGGTAATTATTTATTAACTAAAGGAGTCATAGAGCTCTGTTTGTTGCAGGATGCCTGCAATTTCTGCACTCTGAAGTGTTAGTTATTTCTACAGAAGAAATCAGCCAGGCACACCCCTGCCAAAAGCAACACACCAATTATTTGTTACATTAGAATTCCTTTCCTTTCATCCTTCCATCCCTCAATTTTCTAAACTTCTTGGAACATTTTAAGAATAATCTGCTTTCCTATTTGCTTGATTTAGAGCTATAATGAGGTAGTAAGGAACTGGGGTGGTTGGTAACTGTTGCTGCCTGTTACAGGCATCTATGCACAATGCTGTTTTAGTTAAACAAATGAGCTCAGATGTGCTGGCAGCAGGCAACTAACAAACCATCATTTGCAGTAAATAAAAGTAAAATGGTACTGTAAAAATATGCCAGTGTTTCCAAGAATATTACAATTAGAAACCAAATGTTGTTTCTGAAGGCAGATTTGGGCAGTAAAAACACACAAAAGGGGGCAAAAAGGCAGTGTCAAATATTCATACTAATTCAGACTAAATAAGTATCACACAGTATACTTCAAGTTTAATGCATACATAAATTCCATACCTCCAGGTCAATTTGAAAACTGTCAATAGTGGGAAATTAGGGATAAATACTTAAAACTAGTAATCTCTTAGTCAAAGTAGCTAAACAAACTAAACTCTCAACAACCATACTGATCCAATGACCAGGTGTGACTCTCCCTGAAGCAATCCATATATTAGAAGCCTTCTTCTCAGAGGATGGCCACACTATCACTTTGGCAGCAACATAAACAGATGGGAGTCACAAAACTGGAATCTCAGTTTTATTTTGTTTTTTACTGATACATAATAATTGTAAATATTTGTGGGATACATGTGGTATTTTGATACATGTACACACTGTGAAAGATCAAATCAGGGTAATTGGGGCATCCTCATCTCAAACATCTGTCATTTCTTTGTGTCAGTTTTGCTGGTGACATCACAATAAACAATTACTAAGGGATTGGAGAACTATGCCCAAGAATCAATCAATCAACCTTTCTCTCTCTCTCTCTCTCACACACACGCACACACACACAAAATCTGAAACACGGTTAAGAAACTTCATTGGGCTACCCGGAAGATAATTCAGTAAGGAAGTGGTTATGAAAATTTTCACAACTAGGCTGGGTGCTGTGGCTCATGCCTGTAATACCAGCACTCTGGGAGGCTGAAGCGGGTGGATCACCTGAAATCAGGAGTTCAAGACCAGCCTGGCCAACGTGGCAAAACCCCATCTCTACTAAAAATACAAAAATTAGCTGAGTGTGGTGATGCGCACCTGTAATCCCAGCTACTTGGGAGACTGAGGCAGGAGAATCACTTGAACCCGGAAGGTGGAGGTTGCAGTGAGCCGAGATGACACCACTGCACTCCAGCCTGGGCAACAAGAGCGAAACTCTGTCTCAAAAAAAAAAAAAAAGAAAAAAGAAAATGTTCACAACTATAGAGGAAGCTCTTAAACATTACCATTGCCACTTCTGGGCCATATTCTGTTTGCTTCCTTGGATTTCATGAAGAGAATCTCCCTAGGGAGACAACTGTCATCAACCTCAACCTCACACCCTCTACATGAAGTGTAGGTTGCAGAGAAGACTGGTAAGGTAAATCAGAGCAAAAGAATGGAGTATCCTTATGTCATGCTAAGGAGTTTGGATTCCATCCTACATCTAATGGGGAGTCATTAAGCACAAAATAAAACACAAACATTAACAAAACTCTTAGAGCAGCAGCAAGATGGTCAGGGCATATAATGGTTAAATATCTGACCCTGGCTACAACCATCCTGAGATTTTTAGGGGGGAAGAAAAAGATAATGAGAACGACAGCAATAATCAGGTCTCCACTAGAGTATATGATAAAGTCTAACCATGTGCTCACAACAATCCCTATATAATTAACCACTGCTGCCAAGTGTCTGGCTAGCAGATTTTGATGAACCACTAACTGTTACTAAATCACAACACAATCAGGTACATAATCTTTAAAAATTCTTGTTTAATTCCACTAAAATTATAGACCAAATTAAAATACTAGGAAGGATTTCCAACAGCAAGAATATGGAACGTCTCTGCACCCACTGGATTCATAGGCGGATCATGTTTAAAACATATACACCAAGTGCACTCTACCTCTCAGTTTAACCACTGCCATCAATTAGCAAAACTCCTGCACACTGCTCACATAGATTTCCAATCTTGTGCTTGTTACTGAAAAGCAGATATGCCCCTGGTATAATGGAAAGCGATCGATTTTTGAAGCTGCATATTTAAGTTCCAACTTCTTCATTAACTACTGGTATGACCTAGCCAAATTACTTAATTTGAGAATCGCAGTTCTCATCTGTAAAATGGAGGTAAAAATGCCACCAACTCATAGGACAGCTATGAAGATGATATGGCAATGTGTGGAAAGTGCCCAGCACACAGCTCAATAAATATGAGTTCCCTAACTCCCCAAAACCAACAAGAAAACCCATAAGTATTGAACTGTCAAATATTTATTTATTTATCCCTTAATACACACTTAAATTACTAATTTATCAGCCTTCCCTTATCTTCCCCTGCACTGAGCAGGAGGGGAGTATAAAACATCATTTAGTAATTTTGAAGTGGTTATACGTTTTGAAATAGTACCAAAGCAGCTCTATTAAACAACTGTAAGTGATCTGCTTTGATTTTATTTACATTAATGTTTCATTACAATAGAAGTATAAACCTAGTAGATGACAAAGAAAATCAACATCCTTGTTCACACCTAGGACATCTCTCAGTATTAAGCAACTTACATTTGTATGATGTTTTATAGTTTACAAGGTGGTTTTGAATATATGATTTCATTTGATACAGCCATCTTGTGAAAAAGGAATAGCAGGTAGTATTTCTATTATAGATGAGATATTCACACTGATAAAGAAAATACTAAGTGGCAGAACAAAGACTTTTTTAAGTCTAGGTTTTTTATTTTTTTTAAATTTCAACTTTTATTTTGAATTCAGAGTGTACGTGTGCAGGTTTGTTACATGGGTATATTGCATGATGCTGAGATTTGGGATATGAATGATTCCATCACTCAGGTAATGAGCAAAGTACCCAACAGTTTTTTAACCCTTGTCCCCCTCCTTCTTCCCCCCATAGTAGTACCCAGTGTCTATTGTTCTCCTTTATATACATAAGTAATCAATGTTTAGTTTCCACCTGTATGTAAGAACATGCAGTATTTGGTTTTCTGTTCCTATGTTAATTTCCTTAGGATAACGGCCTCTAGCTGCATCCATGTTGCTTGCAAAGGATATGAATTCATTCCTTTTATGGCTGCATAATAGTCTATGGCATATATATAGCACATTTTATTTATCCAATTTACTGTTGTTTTTTCTGTTTTTTT
This sequence comes from Homo sapiens, assembly GCF_000001405.40. Taxonomy (NCBI): domain Eukaryota; kingdom Metazoa; phylum Chordata; class Mammalia; order Primates; family Hominidae; genus Homo; species Homo sapiens. The sequence continues at coordinate 49,404,006 of NC_000018.10, forward strand.
TTTGTTTGTTTGTTTGTTTTGAGATGGAGTCTCTTTCTGTCACCCAGGCTGGAGTGCAATGGCACAATCTCGGCTCACTGCAACCTCCGCCTCCCGGATTCAAGCAATTCCCCTGCCTCAGCCTCCTGAGTAGCTGGGATTACAGGTGTATGCCACCACACCTGGCTAATTTTTGTACTTCTAGTAGAAATGGGGTTTCACCATGTTGGCCAGGCTGGTCTCGAACTCCTGACCTCAAGTGATCCTCCCGCCTAGGCCTCCCAAAGTGCTAGGATTAAAGGTGTGAGCCACCATGCCCAGCCTCCAATCCACTGTTGATGGGCACCTAGGTTGATGTGATGTCTTTGCTATTGCAAATACTGCTGTGATAAATATACAAGTGCATGTGTCTTTTTGGTAGAATTATTTATTTTCTTTTGAATATATACCCAGTAATAGGATTGCTGGGTGAAATGGTAATCCTGTTTTAAGTTCTTTGAGAAATCTCCAGACTGCTTTCCATGGTGGCTGAACTAATTTACATTCCCACCAACGATGTATAAGCACTCCCTTTTCTCTGCAGCCTCACCAGCATCTGTTATTTTTTGACCTTTTAATAACACCATTCTGACTGGTGTGAGATGGCAAATCACTGCGGTTTTGATTTGCGTTTCTCTAATGATTAATGATGTGGAGCACTTTTTCATGTTTGTTGGCTTCTTATATGTCTCCCTTTGAAAACTGTCCATTCACGGCTGGGCATGGTGGCTCACGCCTGTAATCCCAGCATTTTGGGAGGCCAAGGCAGGTGAATCACGAGGTCAGGAGTTCGAGACCAGCCTGACCAATGTGGTGAAACTTCTACTAAAAATACAAAAATTAGCCAGGCATGGTGGTGGGCACCTGTAATCCCAGCTACTCGGGAGGCTGAAGCAGGAGAACTGCTTGAACCTGGGAGGCAGAGGTTGCAGTGCGCCAAGGTTGCGCCATTGCACTCCAGCCTGGGTGACAGAGTGAGACTCCATCTCAAAAAAAAAAAAAAAAAGAAAGAAAAAGAAGGAAAAGAAAATTGTCCATTCATGCCTTTTCCTCATTTTTTAATGGGGTTATTTGGTTTTTGCTTGTTGAACTGTTTGAATTCCTTATAGATTCTGGATATTAGATGTTTGCTGAATGCAGTTTGCAAATATTTTCTCCCATTCTGTAGGTTGTCTGTTTACTCTGTTGATTTTTTATTTTGCTGTGCAGATGCTCGTTAGTTTAAATAGATTCCACTGGTCAATTTTTGTTTTTGTTACAATTGTTTTTCAGAACTTAGTCACAAATTCTTTCCCACAGCCAATGTCCAGAATGGTGTTTCCTAGGTTTTCTTGTAGGATTCCTACACTCTGTGTTCTTGCATTTAAATCTTTAATCCATCTTCAGTTAAACTTTTTATATGGTGAAAGGTAGTGGTCCAGTTTCATTATTCTGCATATGGTCAGCTATTCCAGAACCATTTATTGAATAGGAAGTCTTTTCCTTATGATTTTTGTCCGCTTTGACAAAGATCAGATAGCTGTAGGTATATGGCTTTATTTCTGGGTTCTCTATTCTGTTCCATTGGTCTGTTTTTGTGCCAATATCATGCTGGTTTTGTTACTGTAGCCTTATAGTATACTTAGAGGTCAGATAATGTGATGCCTCCAGCTTTGTTCTTTTTGCTTAGGATTGTTTTGGCTATTCAAGCTCTTTTTTTGGTTCCATATTTTTGAACAGTTTTTTCTAATTCTGTGAAAAATGACATGGTAGTTTCATAAGAATAGTATTGTATCTGTAGATTGCTTCGGACAGTATGGCCATTTTAACAATGTCAATTCTTCCCATCCATGAATATGGAATGTTTTTCCATTTGTTTGTATTGTCTATGATTTCTTTCAGCAGTGTTTTATTGTTCTCCTTATAGAGATCTTCCACCTCCTCGGGCAAATGTATTCCTAGGTATTTTCTTTTTTGTGAGGCTGTTGTTAATGGGTTTGCATTCTTGATTTGGTTGTCAGCTTGAATATTATCAATGTATAGAAATGCTACTGATTTTTGTACATTGATTTTGTATCCTTCTGAAGTCATTTATCTGCTCTAGGAATCTTCTGGAGGAGTTTTTAGGATTTTCTAGAAGCATATTGTCAGCAAAAAGAGATGGTTTGACTTCTTCTTTTCCTATTTGAGTACCTTTTATTTCTTTCTCTTGCCTGATTGCTCAGGCTAGGATGACCATTATTTTTATTTTTTAAAATAAAATGGCTATTACTTTGGATGTGCATGGTGGCTCACGCCTGTAATCCCAACACTTTGGGAGGCTGAGACAGGCAGATCACCTGAGGCAGGATTTTGAGACCAGTCTGGCCCCAAAGTGGTGAAACCCCGTCTCTACTAAAAATACAAAAATTAGCCAGGTCTGGTGGCTCACACCTGTAATCCCAGCTACTCAGGAGGTTGAGGCACAAGAATTACTTGAACCTGGGAGACAGAGGTTGCAGAGAGCCGAGATCATGCCACTGCACTCTAGCCTGAGTGATAGAGTGAGACTCTGTCTCAAAAAAGAAAAGAAAAGAAAAAAGAAAGTGGCTATTACTTTTTATTATTGTAAAAATGAACCATCCCAAAATCACCAGGAGGCAACACTAAACACCTATCAAAATTGCAAAAATAAAAAATAGTGACAACATCAAATGCCAGCGAGGAGGCAGATAAACTGGCTCTCTCACACATTGCTGATGGGAAAGTAAAGTGATAAAACCACTCTGGAAAGCCATTTGGCAATTTCCTATAAGGCTAAATATGCACTAACTATACAACACAGCAATTGTACTCTTGAACATTTATCTCAAAGAAATGAAAACTTATGTTCACTCAAAAACTTGTACATGAATTTCATAGCAACTTTATTCATTACAGCCAAAAAGTGGTAATGATCCAAATGTCCCTCAGTGAGTGACTGTCTAAACAAACTATGGCACATCTACAACACAGAACACTACTTAGCAATTAAAAAGGAATGAACAAGTGAGATCCATAACAACTTCAATGGATTTCAAGACACTATGCTGAGTGAAAGAAAAGAGCCCTTCTCAAAATGTTACGTAATGTAAAATTCCATTTACATAATATTGCTGAAATAAAACTACAGAAATAGAAAACTAATTAGTGGCTGCCAGGAATTAGGGATGGGGATGGGGAGGAGAGGATGGGTGTGGCTATAAAGGGTAAGCACTGTATCTTGATCATGGTTGGTTACATAAATCTACTCACATGATAAAACGGTATAGAGCTATACATAAACACATAAATGAATGCACGGATAAATAACTGTGTTAGTCCATTTTGCATGGCTATAAAGGAATACCGGAGCCTGAGTAATTTATAAAGAAAAGAGGTTTAATTTGTTCATGGTTCTTCAAGCTGTATAAGAAGCATGGTGTTAGCAACTGCTCAGCTTCTGGTAAGGCCTCAGGAAGCTTACAATCATTGCAGAAGGTGAAGGAGGAGCCAGCATGTTACAAGGCAAGAGAAGAAGCAAGAGAGAGAAAGGAAAGAGATGCCACACTCTTTTAAACAACTAGATCTTGTGTGAACAAACTGAGCAAGAATTCACTCATCATCAGGGGATGGCGCTAGCCATTCATGAGGGATCTGCCACCATGACCCAAACACTTCTCACCAGGCCCTACCTCCAACGTTGGAGGTCACATTTCAACATGAGATTTGGAGGGGACAAAATATCCAAACCGTATCACTGACAGCTGAAATCTCAATAAGCTCTGGGGATTGTACCAATGTCAGTTTCCTATTTTTGATACTGTACTGTAGTTATACAAGATGTTACAGTTACAAGAAACTATGGGAGCTAAAGAACCACCCTGTACATTTTTGCAACCTCTAATCCATTTAAATTATTTCCAAGTAAGTTTTAAAAACTGAACCAGCCAGGTGCAGTGGCACATGCCTGTAGTGCCAGCTACTCAAGAGGCTGAAGGGGGAGGACTGCCTGATTCCAGGAATTTAAGAACAGCCTGGGCAACATAGCAAGACCTCATCTCAAAAAAAAAAAAAAAACTGAACCATAAAAAGCTATACAAACATATTAAAAATTTAAATGAATATATCATATACATTTTAAAATATATATACAATTTTGCATGAACAATATTATGTTATACACATGGTTTTATAACTGGCTTTAACTACTTAATATGCTGTAGGTCCTTTTCCATATCTAAAAACATAGGATTGTTTTTAACGGCTATATGTTGTTCCAGTGTGCAGATGCACCATTTTTATTTATGTAGCCGATCTTACTGGTGGACATTTAAGTTGTTAGCAATTTTCTACCATAAACATTGCTATGAATGTCTTTACACATGTCTCTCCACATATATTTCTGAACTTGTCCAATTATGTCCTTAACATAAATCTGGAAGTGCAATTGCTAGGTCAATGAACACTTCTGTTCTGATGAATGTCGCAAATTATATTCCAGAAAGATTACCCACCAGTAGTGCATAATTGTGGCTTATAATCTTCCACACATTGCTAGATTTGCAAAGTTGCAAATCAAGATCTTTTGACACCAAATCCAGTTATCTTTAAACTCAAATAAGTATGTGATGATAGTAAGCAAGCATAAAGCTTTATTACAAATATGGATTGTTTTCCCTCTAAAATGGCCTACAGAGGAACCCATAAAGGGTATGATGTCTAAGTAGCAAATTATTACCGTGCCATGTAAATTTAGAAGGAACCCTATTCAACATGACCTAAATTCTTTAGCTGTCCCAGGCAATCAATTGTTGTATTAAATAACAAGAGGGACGGGGCACATAAATATTGTACAGAGTTTATAACCTCTATGGACTTAAACTCATGTGAGAATCCTCTGGCATAACAAACGGCTCTGGCCTAAACTTCAAGAATGGTCTAGTCAACAAAATACAGAAATATTCAGTTGTGACAGAAAAAGTAAAAACTCAGTAAATGTGGGCTGGGCACAGTGGTTCACACTTGCAATCCCAGCACCCTGGGAGGCCGAGGCAGGTGGATCACCTGAGGTCAGGAGTTCAGGACCAGCCTGCCAACATAGCGAAACCCCGTCTCTACTAAAAATACAAAAATTAGCCGAGCATGGTGGCTCACACTTGTAGTCCCAGCTACTCAGGAGGCTGAGGCAGGAGAATCACTTGAACCTGGGAGGTGGAGGTTGCAGTGAGCCGAGATTGCACCACTGCACTCTAGTCTGGGTGACAGAGTGAGACTCTGTCTCAAAAAAAAAAAAAAAAGAAAAAAAAGAAAAAAACTTAGCAAATATTAAATAAAAAATTCTGGATTATATTTGTTCATTATAAAGACACATGATTGACTATATTGCTGCTTAAGCAGAAAATGCTTCCAAATGTCATGAGCCACAATTCAGGAGGTGATGGAAGAGAAACAACCATGGCCTTGATGGTAGATCTGCTCTCCACCACAACTCAGGGGAGACCCCACCACAGCTCATGAATGATGGAATAAAAAGACCAGAGCTTGGTGTTAAAGCATGTATCCCTTCATTCATCAACAGAGTACCACTGTTGGATGTCAATTAGTTTTCCCATCCTGGCAAATTAATAAGGAAAAAATATTTGTTGGTAGGGAAAAAAAGCCTCTTTCATATGAAGCCTGTAGTTCAAGAATTCAAGTTTCCACAATAAAAATAAATATATAACATGGACCATCTAATAAACTAAATACCTAGTCCTGATAATTGTCACATATGAAAATATGCAAGAGGTATTTACAATATGTTGGTCAATTGGTGTAGCAGGTCAGGCAGGCTACAGTTTGCAAGTGAAATACTCACAACTGGGGTCAACAGAAGCAGCACACTTAAGCTAACTCAGCTGATGTTCTGTGACTTAGGTCGTGGAGCCTATACGTAGTACCTAAAGAAACGATTTGTGCCTCTTTAGTGGTTTCTATCATCCAACACTTTTTTCCTTTGTCATCTCAATCTGCTTTTCTACTAACTCATCTGTCTCTTTCTTCTTCATCTGAACACTTTGGATTTTGTGTGTGTGTGTTTTAGAGACAGGGTCTCGATGCATTCCCAAGGCTGGATTACAGTGTCATGATCCCAGCTCACTGCCGCTTAGAACTCCTGGGCTCAAGCAATCCTCCCACCTCAGCCTCCCGAGTAGCCAAGACTACAGGTGTGTGCCACCATGCCCAGCAAATTTTTTTTTGTAGCAATGGAGTCTCATTATGTTGCCCAGGCTAGTCTAGAACTCCTGGCCTCAAACAATCCTCCTGCCTTGACCCCCAAAGTACTGGGATTACAGGCATAAGCCACAGTACCCAGTCACTGGATTTTTAAGTATTATAAGAGGTACCAATGGACACTGCCAGGCCATGGTGTTGGTCCTCAGGGATTAAGGTTAAAAAAAAATAAGAAGTTGAATAATATATACTCTTAGAAGAAAAGCTTACCAATTGGTTGTATAATAACACCACAACCTCAAAAAAAAAAAAAGTCTTATTATATACATTTAGCAGACTTCACTGATCTGAAATTTACTAATTCAGGATTGGGGGCTGTTTGTCTAAAATTGAGTTGAAGCCTGGACAACATAGTGAGACCTTTTCTCTACCAAAAAAAAAAAAAAAATTAGCTGGGCATGGTAGAGTGCCTGTAGTCCCAGCTGCTCCTTGAGCCCTGGAGGTGGAGGCTGCAATGAGCTGCCCTCCAGCCTGGCCAATACAGCAAAACCCTGTCTCAAAAAAATTAAAATTAAAATTAAAATTAAACAAATTGAGTTGAAACTGACTTTTGTGTTATACTTTAAAGAAATCATTTTGACAAGGGAGAGGGGATTTAGAAAAAGTATTATTTAACCTTCTACAAAAGAAATGTGTTTAAAGATGTTAGCATATTATTGTCCATATGCAAATAAATTTGCTGAAATAACTTGCATTTTGTACAGGCCTATATACACTATTCAAAGTTCTTTCACCTTTATTATTTCATTTGATTTCTTTTAAAAACCCTGAGAAGTTGACCGAGGAAATGGGAGTATCCTCACTTTACAAGTGACAGAAATAGAGAAGCAGAGTAACTTGTCCAATGTCACGGTATAAGAATAAACATATTTAACTTCCAGATTAATACTCTTTCAATATGAATAATATTAAATGAGATACTCTTAAGGCAAACCCACATAATATCAACCTAGAAACACTCCAGCAACTAGTTGGAATTTCTATATATTCCTAAAAGAAGTTGTGTCACACATAAATTATTATAAAAAGTATATCTACATTATAATTCCAATCATGCAAAAATTATGTGAATTATAAAGAATTGGAAGAAAACAAAATTTTAAATCTAATAAGGAAAATGGTAAGATGATAGACGACTTTCTTGTAACTGCTATGAAATCATAAACTATAGTGTGGTCGGGAAGCTAAAATTTTAAATTAAGTATTCCCTACTTCACAGTTTTCTGTAATTTAGACTGGTTTTATTTTACTTTTAGGCACACCGTTCTCATATATGAATCTCAATAATGAAAAGTGAGAAATTAATAGCTCAAATATTTTTAAGAAAAGCAGATAGGCAAAAAAATTGTTGGGGGAGAAGTTATAACAGACCTCTGAACACAGGTTTGCTGAACAATCAAACTGTAAGTTTCATAACATAAACACTGAAAATCCTTAGTCCCTTCAGCTGAAAGTTCCGCCATAAAATTCTTTCAAAACTGACATTTTATATTAATGATGTCAATTTCAGCCAACAACATACAAATTCTGATAAATATATAATGTTAGTCAAAGATATAACCTGAAAAAATCAACAAGTAACGATTCAGGAAAGGACAGAAGCACTTCTGAAGACATTTTCCCCCTTACCTTAGCAAAGAGAATTACAGAAATCATTCACAAAACTAACAAGAATCAGCCAATTCAGTGGTTAAACTGTGGGAAGGTTAATGTTTTAAGAGGACCTATTAATAGGAAAAAGTCAAAGGACAAAAACTGCATATAAATTATAGCAATTTTTAACGCACCCATGCAGAACCAAAAAGGTGTTTACATTCATGTGATTCACAGACAATCGTATATGCTGTCATTCAACTGCCAAAATGAAAGGAAATATAACTATTAAAATGTCAAAATGTCAGCAACTACTATGCTAGATAATACGGTGTTTATTTTCCCAAGAAAGAGAAAAACATTGACTTAAAAAAAAAAAAAAAAAAATTCCAACCAACACAGTGAGAAAGAAGAGGAATCAAGGGTGCACCTGCAGTAAAACTTACATGTCCCTTTACTTTAATGCTTTAAAGGATATATTTCCCCCATTTAAGCTTTTAGTTTAAGGGACTGATTAATCCTGGGAAAACTTAAGCATCTTCTAAAATGATTTTTGCATAGAAAGGTATAAATGAAAGAATGGGAAATAAAGGTTTTGACTCAAGATGTAAAAACTGAACTTCTTGTGGTCCCTCAATTTGAAAAATATAATAAGATGCCAAGAAAAGTCTCAAATTATTTATTCCCTGAGTAAAACAGCCTAGTACATTATTTTGGTCACCAACCAAGCAAACCTACAAAGAAAAAGTTAAAACAGAATTTAGAAGATGGTTTAGCAGCGATCCCAGGCCCACCTCTACAACAGAGCAGATTTTTCAACTTGAAAAGTTCTAATAAAATTGAACATAAAGTGTGCCAAAGAGCCTAAAAATATAGAAACAGAGACAGGCATCAAAGATTCAAAGAAGAAAGTAATTTTACAATCACTTGCTTCTGTCAGTTAAAAACGTGACCTAATTAAACAAAAGTCTCTCTTCCTGTGTGTCAACTGAGGAAACAGACTAAGAAACTTTGACAAAGGATCATTCAGGCAGCTCTGCTTAAAAAGAGAGAAGATACACTCTACTCAAGGCAAGGTGAAAATACTAAACAGATTACCCATCAGCTTGTGTGATCACTGTAAATGATGGCACTCAAGATTCCTCTGATTATGATCTGCAGCTTTGAAAAATGCTTGAAAATGTGAACATATAATCTGGTGGTTCTACTCTCAAAGATTACCATACGATTTAATGCTGCAGCTCTTTAGTACTTACATGAAACTGGGTCTCAGATTAGCCTGTGCTTCCCAAGGAGACAGTGTGGCATGATGGTCAACGGAATTCCTCTCTGGACTTAGACAAATAAACCTGGTTTAAATTAAATCTGGTCCTTACTTGCTACTCACTGTGTGGCTTTAGACAACCTTCCTAGGCCTCAGTTCTCTCACACGTGGGAATAATAGACTTGAATAACAATAACAGAACTAAAAAAATGGAGGTGTCTACAGCAATGGGTCCAGCATCTGACAAACAGTGAGCTCAATAAATAACTGGTAAAGTAACAATGATGCTTACGTTAGCGAATCCTTTTAGCAGAATTATATTATCATTATATCATTTTATCATTCTATTTTATCATTTATCTCAGTAGAATTAAATTTTTTATCATGTAAGAAAAATCCCTGAAAGAAAAGTCAAAGTGACAAGTGGAAACTAACAATGCTAAAGAGAAATGGAAGCCCTTTAAAAGGATAAGAGTACAGCAAACTGAAGTTTAGAAAACATTATATGATGTGGTATATAACTACAATGGGTAATTAGTCAGACTTAAGGAAGGAAATTACATCATGGATTATGAACTTTGAAGGCATTATACTAGGCCAGGCACAGTGGCTCAAGCCTATAATCCCAGCACTTTGGGAGGCCAAGGCAGGCAGATCACTTGAGGTCAGGAGTTCAAGACTAGCCTGGCCAACATGGTGAAACCCCGTCTCCACTAAAAAATACAAAAATTAGCGGGCATGGTGGTGCACACTTGTAATCCCAACTACTTGGGAGGCTGAGGCGGGAGGACAACTTGAACCCAGGAGGCGGAGGTTACATTGAGCCAAAATCACGCCACTGCACTCCAGCCTGGACAACAGAGAGAGACTCTGTCTCAAAAAAGAAAGAAAGAAAGAAAGAAAGCATTATGCTACATGAAATAAGCCAGTCACAAAAAGACAAATATTGTATGATTCCACTTATATGACAATACCCAGAGTAGTCAAATTCATAGAGACAGAAAGTAAAAATAGAGGTGACCAGAAACTGGAGGGAGAGGATGGGAAGTTATTGTTTAATAGGTATAGCATTTCTATCTGAGGTGATGAAAATATTCTGGAAAGGGATGGTGGGGATGGTTGCACAACCCTGTGAATGTACTTTAAACTGTACAATTAAAAATGGTTGAAAAGGTTACAAGAGTCAAGAGGACCAGACGAAAAAACAATAATTTAAAAAATGGTTGAAAAGGTAAATTTTATGTTTATTTTACCACAATAAAAAAAACATGAATAAAATCTTTCCATATTATAGGATAGTTAGTAAATTATAGCAGACTAGACTCAATTCCCAAATAGTGATAATGAAACAGGCTCATCTCTGGAATACCATACAACTTATAAGATCTTTCACACAGCCAAGTCCTTATGTTATTTGTTTCGTGTTGGCTGTTCTGCTACACGGGCCTTTTGCTGCTCTTCTAACAAGCAGAACTTACTTCCACTTCAGCCTCTTTACACTCGCTGCCCCTCTACCTGGAATACTCTCCACAAAACATGCATGGCTCACTCCCTGGCATCATAATGTCTCTGCTCAAATGCTGCTTTCCCAGAGACTCTCTGGCTAAAGAAATCTCCTAAAGCTATTGCTCTCCATCACCTCACTCCGCTTCGCTTTTCTTCCTTACACTTGACACTTCCAGAAATGACTTAACATATTTATTTGTTCACTTGTTTATCGCTCATCTCCTCTAGTAACATATAAACTGCATGAGAGCAGGGACTTTGTCACTCATGTTTTTAGTCCTTAAAAACAGTCCCTAGCAACTAGAAGACATTCCATAACTATTTTTTTAGGTATATTAATCAAAAAAATACTTCCTTTTTTTTTGATGTGGAGTTTCTTTCTGTCTCCCAGGCTGGAGTACAGTGGCATGACCTCAGCTCACTGAAACCTCTGTTTCCAGGGCTCAAGCGATTCTCCTGCTTCAACCTGAAGTCAGGAGTTTGAGACCAGCCAGGCCAACATGGCAAAACCCTGTCTCTACCAAAAATACAAAAATTAGCCGAGCATGGCACACACCTGTAGTCCCAGCTACTCAGGAGCCTGAGGCAGAAGAATTGCTTGAACCCAGGAGGTGGAGGTTGCAGTAAGCTGAGATCACACCACTGCACTACAGTCTGGGAGACAGAGTGAGACTGGGTCTCTCAAAAAAAAAAAAAAAAAAAAATTAAAAAAATTTTAAAAATGAGAGAGAATTAAAACGATATACACCATAATGTTAACAAGTTACTCTTGGTTGTTATTATTTTTATCTTTTTTTTTTTTTGCCTTCCTGGTGCTTTTCTGTATTTAAAGTATTAAAAATGAACATGCATTACTTTGGTACTTAGAAAAATTAGTTTTAAGTGACTGTGCCAAGAGCTGCCCTTTTTGCCTTATATGAGCACCATCTAGTGCTCAGTACACATAATACAATTTCTGTAACACAGTAAAGTTTTCTGAAAAGTAGCCTTTATAAAAAGTAGGGTGTGGCTGGGCATGGTGGCTCATGCCTGTAATCCCAGCACTTTTGGAGGCTGATGTGGGTGGATTGCTTGAGGCCAGGAGTTCGAGACCAGCCTGACCAACATGGTGAAACCCTGTCTCTACTAAAAATATAAAACTAGCCAGGCATGGTGGCATGTGCCTGTAATCCCAGCTACTTGGGAGGGTGAGGCAGGAGAATCACTTGAACCTGGGAGGCAGAGGCTGCAGTGAGCCAAGGTCGTGCCACTGTACTCCAGCCTGGGCAACAAGAGCGAAACTCTGACTCAAAAAAAAAAAAAAAAGGTAGATTGCTTATACACAAAGATGACTATTACTATAATCACTGTCTGGCTTAATTTTTAAAACAGCAGAACAATTAGTTCAAAAGAGGCACAGGACTTTCAATCATCAAGATAAAGCGGTCATCAGAAAATTGGTTAAATTTCTGCTGCTTATTTTCATTCCTCAAATATTTTAGACTAACTCTCAAGACAGAGTCCTAGGTCTTTGTAAACTAATAGGTAATTACTCCTTGAAAGAAGAGCAAAGTCAGACACTTTACATGCATGATAGTGTTTCATCATCCCTATGAATCTACATGGTAGGGGTTATTATTTCCATTTTACAAAAGCAACAACAGGTTCAGTGAGATTAAGCAGCTTTCCTGAATTCACAAACTAGTCAGTTGTGGAGCTCAGGCAAGGTCAGTTTGGCTCCAAAATCCATGTTCCCCCTGCCATGCTACATGGTCTCCATTCTTCACACTTCACCCAAAGTCACTGCACCTTTTAGCAAAACAATTCCTCTGGAGAAGAGTATTCAGGCTGCTGCTATACTGCTCAGAGCTGCTCTCAAATCTGGAACTCTAAGCTCATTAAGTATTAACACTCAAATCAGGTGTTAATTTAAAACAAAAGAACTTTTTAAAGATATTATTCTCTATACTGCTGTTAGCTGGTTACACACACTTACTGAGATGTAGGACTTTCCATTTCCTACACAGTAATAGAAATTCAGACCTTCAGCACATCACAGGTATATTGCTGCAGATGTCTCAGATTTTGTTTTCCTGCCCTAGTTTTTCTTCCTGCACTTTCCACCTACTCACCCTACTTAAAAAAATAATGTCTCTGAAACAATGTTTTCTCCAAATCCACTCAACAAGAGCCTACAAGGGACCCTACTTCTAATCCTCAGCTTTCTAACAAGTGTGCCAAAAATAGGTAACAGGTGGACATATTTTTATTTCCCAGTTCAGCCTTTCATAGTTAGAGCCCCTACACCCTTCAGAGCCCCAGACCACTCTAGACCCAAGCAGCCTTATCAATTTACCCTGAAGCATCATGAACTATGTTGGGAAGCAATTTCTACATTCCCAACCTATTACACTTGATTCCCATTCCTCTCAACACAAACTGGAAGCATTACTAGAAGTCATCTGGCCACGTTTCCTTTATAGTACAAGAAGTCACTTCTACCCATATGTATAAGGTGGTAGCGGTGGTGTTGGTGGTGGTGTTGTTTGAGACAGGGTCTTGTTCTGTTGCCCAGGCTGGCGAAAGCATTGGCCTGACCATAGTCACTACAACCTTGAACTCCTGGGCTCAAGGAATCCTCCTGACTCAGCCTCCCAAGTAGTTGGGACTACAAGCATAAGCCACCGAGCTCAGCTAATTTTTTTATTTTTTGTAGAGATGGGGGTCTCGCCATGTTGCCCAGGCTGGTCTCAAACTCTTAGTCTCAAAAGATCCTCCTGCCTCAGCCTCTCAAAATGCTGGGAATACAGGGATGAACCACCGTTCCCAGCTTGTATAAGGCTATTCACTGCTACATTATATGTAATAACAAAACACTGGAAGCAATCCAAATGGTAAAACCCAAATGGTAAATCCAATTAATTTTGGTATATATGCCCCCCCATTAAAAAGAGTGAGGAAGTTAATATATAGAAGGCTCTTCAAGATATAACTGATGAAAAAAAGCACAAAGTGAAAAAGTGTGTATAATATACATGCTATTATTTATCAAAAAAAGAGAAGGGATATATGTGCATATTTGTTTGCATATGCATAAAATGCAATTCTTCTATAACACCCTTTATCATATTTCACCATACTTGTTTGCTGATTTACAGATAAGATTATAAGCTCTGGCTGGGCGTGTAATCTCAGCACTTTGGGAGGCCGAGGCAAGCGAATCACCTGAGGTCGAGAGTTCAAGACCAGCCTGACCAACATGGAGAAACCCCATCTCTACCAAAAATACAAAATTAACCGGGCATGGTGGCACATGCCTGTAATCCCAGCTACTGGGGAGGCTGAGGCAGGAGAATCACTTAATCCCGGGAGGCAGAGGTTGTGGTGAGCCGAGATCATGCCATTGCACTCCAGCCTGGGCAACAAGAGTGAAACTCTGTCTGAAAAAAAAAAAAAAAAAAAGATTATAAGCCTTTAAGGACAAGAGACATCATATATCCAGCTAACTATTATAGCCTGAGAAACAAATAAATGAATAACAGTTTGATACTCAGAGATAAGTCATCTGGTCCAGCAGTTCTCAATGATAAGCATGACACACGATTATGTTCACACACACCATAGCCTCAGATGCCTATGAACCAAAAAATAATAAGTACAGGTCTGTTTTTCATTTTTGTTGCTATTATGTAGTTTAGAAACATGTATAAAATCAGTCATATAAGTAGTTTAAAATATTTAGGAAAAAAACAGTGTATATTATTAACCTTTAGTCTTTAATTATTCTTCATTTTGTTTCAGATCTTTGCTGCACAACTAATTTTAACAGGGTGAAAAAATAAAAACTATTAAATAATTTAAGAAAGATTTTAGAACCACACCTGGAAACTCTTACAAAATCTGATTACTCTGATGCTAAAAACAGTTAATAGTAAGGAAGGATTAGATTCGTCCTAAAGGCCTTATTAGTATTTCTAAAAATTGCAGCAAACATCGATTTTTGGCTACAAAAATGGACTTTACTTGAAGACGGCACATATGTATCTAACGAATTCCAAGAGTGAACAATCTCAGAATTATCTAGATTCAGAGTCTCCTCTACTGAGATTCATCTTAGCCCTGAATAATTCATGAACTAGGTAATTTTGGCCCCTGACTCTGTCAACAAGGGGGCACCTGCTACCTCAAAGCCTACTCAGTCCCAAGGTCAAATATCAAATACCATCAGTGAGGAGCAGGGCAGTGCCAAAGAGAAAGTGACAGACCAAAAGTATATGCAACACCACAAATGAAACCTCTATCATGTAAACTCACTTGTGGCGGTGGGGGTGGGAAGAAACCTTTATAAATATACTCTCACAGATTTACAATGCAGTTTATTTACTTTACAGTTTTTTCACTTTCTAAGATCCCTTTATACGTTTCTCTTAAATCACCTGGGTGATTTAAGAAAAGAGAATGGTGGCCAGGCGCAGTGGCTCACGCCTGTAATACCAGCACTTTGGGAGGTCAAGGCAGGTGGATCAGGAGGTCAGGAGTTCAAGACCAGCCTGGCCAAGATGATGAAACTCCACCTCTACTAAACTACAAAAATTAGCCAGGCGTGATGGCAGGCACCTGTAATCCCAGCTACTCGGAAGCCTGAGGCAGGGAATTGCTTGAACCTGGGAGGCGGAGGTCGCAGTGAGCTGAGATTGCACCACTGCACTCCAGCCTGGGCGACAGAGCAAGACTCTGTCTCAAAAATTAAAAAAATAAAATAAAATAAAATAAAATTTGAGTAAAAATAATAATTAACAAAACAAACTATAAAGCCATAATAACTTAAACTGTGAGGCACTGGCACAGGTCGACAAAAATGGCTAACAAATTATTCCCGTCACTATTTTTTAAGAAGTTCATCTTTTTCCCCACTGAAATGCCAGCTCCACATAAATCAAGTACATACACATACATTTATTCTTATTCTTAAGTATTTTAGTTATTCTTGTTCATTATACTTTTTCATACACATTTCAGAATAAACTTATCAAGATCCCCCAATCTTCCAAAACAAGGCTTTCAGAATTTTAATTCAAATTGTCTTCAATCTATAGGTCAATTTGAAAAGAAGTGACATTTTTACAATAGTCTCCTTATTCCTTAAACATGGTACATATCTCTATTTAGTTAAGTCTACTTTAGTATATTTCAATGTAAAAACCATATACTATAATTTGGAATAGCTTTATAAATTACTTTAGAATTTACATAAGTGAAAAGAAAAATTATTTTGGACAATAAATCATGCTCTCCATTTCGCCCTCTTTTCCTCTAAGTCGTATCACTATCACATGAGCAGCAGTACTCAGTGATAATTCTGCAAGGATTAAGGAAATGATTTCAAAAGTTGTTGATGCTATAGCTCATCCCCAGTATGACCTTTCTCACCAATCCACAGCCACCTTTAATTTTCCAAGGATCTCAGAAGCAAGAATAAGTAACCACTTCAATATAAAATACATCTAATCCAAGCCATCAGATTAATTATAAACTAAGTTAAAATTCGTTTTTTTTTTTTTTTTTTTGAGATGGAGTCTTGCTCTTGTCGCCCAGGCTGGAGTGCAATGGCGCGATCTCAGCTCCCCACAAGCTCTGCCGCGCGGGTTCAAGTGACTCTCCTGCTTCAGCCTCCCGAGTAGCTGGGATTACAGGCGCCCGCCACCACGCCTGGCTAATTTTTTGTATTTTTAGTAGAGATAGGGTTTCACCACGTTGACCAGGCTGGTCTTGAACTGCTGAATTCAGGTGATCCACCTGCCTCGGTCTCCCAAGGTGTTTGGATTACAGGCAAGAGCCACCACACCTGGCTTAAACTAAGGTAAACTTCTAAGGCCCAATCCAATTGTATACAATAAAGTTAAAAATTAAAATTTGGGGGGAGGTTCCAAGATGGCTGAATAGAAACAACTCCAGTCTACAGCTCCCAGCATGAGCAACACAGAAGACGGGTGATTTCTGCATTTCCAACTGAGGTACCTGGTTCATCTCACTGGGGCTTGTCAGACAGTGGGTGCAGGACAGTGGGTGCAGCCTGTGGACCGTGAACCGAAGCAGGGCAAGGCATCACCTCACCAGGGAAGTGCAAGGAATTCCCTTTCCTAGCCAAGGGAAGCCGTGACAGACAGCACCTGGAAAATCAGGTCACTCCCACCCTAATACTGCCCTTTTCCAACAATCTTAGCAAACGGCACATCAGGAGATTATATCCCACGCCTGGCTCGGAGGGTCCCACACCCACGGAGCCTTGCTCACTGCTAGCACAGCAGTCTGAGATCAAACTACAAGGTGGCAGCGAGGCTGGGGGAGGGGCACCTGCCATTGCTGAGGCTTGAGTACCTAAACAAAGCAGCCGGGAAGCCCAAACCGCAGCTCAAGGAGAACTGCCTGCCTCTGTAGACTCCACCAATGGGGGCAGGGCACAGCTGAACAAAAGGCAGCAGAAAGTTCTGCAGACTTAAATGTCCATGTCTGACAGCTTTGAAGAGAGTAGTGGTTCTCCCAGCACGGAGTTTGAGATCTGAGAATGGACAGACTGCCTCCTCAAGTGGGTCCCTGACCCCTGAGTAGCCTAACTGGGAGGCACCTCCCAGTAGGGGCCGACTGACACCTCATACGGCCAGGTGCCCCTCTGAGACGAAGCTTCCAGAGGAACAATCAGGCAGCAACATTTGCTGTTCTGCAATATTTACGGTTCTGCAGCCTCCACTGGTGATACCCAGGCAAACAGCGTCTGGAGTGGACCTCCAGCAAACTCCAACAGACCTGCAGCTGAGGGTCCTGACTGTTAGAAGGAAAACTAACAAACAGAAAGGACATCCACACCAAACCCCATCTGTACGTCACTATCATCAAAGACCAAAGATAGATAAAACCACAAAGATGGGAAGAAACCAGAGCAGAAAAGCTGAAAATTCTAAAAATCAGAGTGCCTCTTCTCCTCCAAAGGAACGCAGCTCCTCGCCAGCAACAGAACAAAGCTGGACGGAGAATGACTTTGACGAGTGGAGAGAAGAAGGCTTCAGAAGATCGGTAATAACAAACTTCTCCGAGCTAAAGGAGGATGTTCGAAACCATCGCGAAGAAGCTAAAAACCTTGAAGAAAGATTAGATGAATGGCTAACTAGAATAAACCGCATAGAGAAGCCCTTAAATGACCTTATGGAGCTGAAAACCATGGCACAAGAACTACGGGACACATGCACAAGCTTCAGTAGCCGATTCAATCAACTGAAAGAAAGGGTATCAGTGATTGAAGATCAAATGAATGAAATGAAGCAAGAAGAGAAGTTTAGAGAAGAAAGAATAAAAAGAAATGAACAAAGCCTCCAAGAAATATGGGGCTATGTGAAAAGACCAAATCTATGTCTGATTGGTGTACCTGAAAGTGACGGGGAGAATGGAACCAAGTTGGAAAACACTCTGCAGGATATTATCCAGGAGAACTTCCCCAACCTAGTAAGGCAGGCCAACATTCAAATTCAGGAAATACAGAGAACACCACAAAGATACTCCTCAAGAAAAGCAACTCCAAGACACATAATTGTCAGATTCAACCAAGTTGAAATGAAGGAAAAAATGTTAAGGGCAGCCAGAGAGAAAGGTTGGGTTACCCACAAAGGGAAGCCCATCAGACTAACAGCGGATCTCTCGGCAGAAACTCTACAAGCCAGAAGAGAGTGGGGGACAATAGTCAACATTCTTAAAGAAAATAATTTTCAACCCAGAATTTCATATCCAGACAAACTAAGCTTCATAAGTGAAGGAGAAATAAAATACAAAAACATGCCAAATTGTAAAGACCATCGAGGCTAGGAAGAAACTGCATCAACTAAAGGGCAAAATAACCAGCTAACATCATAATGACAGGATCAAATTCACACATAACAATATTAACCTTAAATGTAAATGGGCTAAATGCTCCAATTAAAAGACACAGACTGGCAAATTGGATAAACAGTCAAGACCCATCAGTGTGCTGTATTCAGGAAACCCATCTCACGTGCAGAGACACAAATAGGCTCAAAATAAAGGGATGGAGGAAGATATAACAAGCAAACGGAAAACAAAAAACAGCAGGGGTTGCAATCCTAGTCTCTGATAAAACAGACTTTAAACTAACAAAGATCAAAAGAGACAAAGAAGGCCATTACATAATGGTAAAGGGATCAATTCAACAAGAAAAGCTAACTATCCTAAATATATATGCACCCAATACAGGAGCACCCAGATTCATAAAGCAAGTCCTTAGAGACCTACAAAGAGACTTAGACTCCCACACAATAATAATGGGAGACTTTCACACCCCACTGTCAACATTAGACAGATCAAGACAGAAAGTTAACAAGGATATCCAGGAATTGAACTCAGCTCTGCACCAAGTGGACCTAATAGACATCTACAGAACTCTCCACCCCAAATCAACAGAATATACATTCTTTTCAGCACCACATAGCACTTATTCCAAAATTGATCACATAGTTGGAAGTAAAGCACTCCTCAGCAAATGTAAAAGAACAGAAATTATAACAAACTGTCTCTCAGACCACAGTGCAACCAAACTAGAACTCAGGATTAAGAAACTCACTCAAAACCGCTCAACTACATGGAAACTGAACAACCTGCTCCTGAATGACTACTGGGTACATAACAAAAGGAAGGCAGAAATAAAGATGTTCTTTGAAACCAACGAGAACAAAGACACAACATACCAGAATCTCTGGGACACATTTAAAGCAGTGTGTAGAGGGAAATTTATAGCACTAAATGCCCACAAGAGAAAGCAGGAAAGATCTAAAATTGACAACCTAATGTCACAATTAAAAGAACTAGAGAAGCAAGAGCAAACACTTTCAAAAGCTGGCAGAAGGCAAGAAATAACTAAGATCGGAGCAGAACTGAAGGAGATAGAGACACAAAAAACCCTTCAAAAAAATCAGTGAATCCAGGAGCTGGTTTTTTTGAAAAGATCAACAAAATTGATAGACCACTAGCAAGACTAATAAAGAAGAAAAGAGAGAAGAATCAAATAGACGCAATAAAAAATGATAAAGGGGATATCACTACTGATCCCACAGAAATACAAACTACCATCAGAGAATACTATAAACACCTCTATGCAAATAAACTAGAAAATCTAGAAGAAATGGATAAATTCCTGGACACATACACCCTCCCAAGACTAAACCAGGAAGAAGTTGAATCCCTGAATATACCAATAACAGGCTCTGAAATTGAGGCAATAATTAATAGCCTATAAACCAAAAAAAGTCCAGGACCAGATGGATTCACAGCCGAATTCTACCAGAGGTACAAAGAGGAGCTGGTACCATTCCTTCTGAAACTATTCCAATCAATAGAAAAAGAGGGAATCCTCCCTAACTCATTTTATGAGGCCAGCTTCATCCTGATACCAAAGCCTGGCAGAGACACAACCAAAAACGACAATTTTAGACCAATATCCCTGATGAACATCGATGCAAAAATCCTCAATAAAATACTGGCAAACTGAATCCAGCAGCACATCAAAAAGCTTATCCACCATGATCAAGTGGGCTTCATCCCTGGGATGCAAGGCTGGTTCAACATATGCAAATCAATAACCGTAATCCATCATATACACAGAACCAAGGACAAAAACCACATAATTATCTCAATAGATGCAGAAAAGGCCTTTGACAAAATTCAACAGCCCTTCATGCTAAAAACTCTCAATAAATTCGGTGTTGATGGGACATATCTCAAAATAGTAAGAGCTATTTATGACAAACCCTCCACCAATATTGTACTGACTGGCAAAAACTGGAAGCATTCCCTTTGAAAACTGGCACAGGACAGGGATGCCTTCTCTCACCACTCCTGTTCAACATAGTGTTGGAAGTTCTGGCCAGGGCAATCAAGCAGAAGAAAGAAATAAAGGATATTCAATTAGGAAAAGAGGAAGTCAAATTATCTCTGCAGATGATGTGATTGTATATTTAGAAAACTCCATCAACTCAGTCCAAAATCTCCTTAAGCTGATAAGCAACTTCAGCAAAGTCTCAGGATACAAAATCAATGTATAAAAATCACAAGCATTCTTATACACCAATAACAGACAAACAGAGAGCCAAATCATGAGTGAACTCCCATTCACAATTGCTTCAAAGAGAATAAAATACCTAGGAATCCAACTTACAAGGGATGTGAAAGACCTCTTCAAGGAGAATTACAAACCACTGCTCAACGAAATAAAAGAGGACACAAACAAATGGAAGAACATTCCATGCTCATGGATAGGAAGAATCAATATCGTGAAAATGGCCATACTGCCCAAGGTAATTTGTAGATTCAATGCCATCCCCATCAAGCTACCGATGACTTTCTTTACAGAATTGGAAAAAACTACTTTAAAGTTCATGTAGAATCAAAAAAGAGCCCGCATTGCCAAGTCAATCCTAAGGCAAAAGAACAAAGCTGCAGGCATCACACTACCTGACTTCAAACTATACTACAAGGCTACAGTAACCAAAACAGCATGGTACTGGTACCAAAACAGAGATATAGATCAATGGAACAGAACAGAGCCCTCAGAAATAATACCACACA